>NC_000012.12:41096491-41248006 GCF_000001405.40 Homo sapiens
CTCTATATTAAGGCACACACAAAAACATAGTAACTTTCATGCAGTGGAAATACTCTGTAAACACTTATCTCAGTGCAATATGACCAGAAACTAAAAATAAAAGCAAAATATAAAAATGCACGACCTAGAAGGGACATAAAATGTGGAATGGGGCAAGGCAAGAAAGAACCCTATTGGAATGGATTAGAATTTCTAAAATATGTGTGTATGATGTATATATGCATGTACATGTATGTATATATAAAAATACAGATGTATGTGTATGTGTGTATGGTTTTCTACCCACATATACATATCCTTGTTTATGTGAACATGCATACGATCTATGTGGGTAGTATGTATGTATGAGTATACACATGCATATATTTTCTAATTTAGTTCACTGAAAGGGCAAAGGTCCCCAACAGCAATGACTGCAATGAGCATGTCTAGATACCAGATCTTAGTCTCTACTACCACTCAACCTAAAAAGGAACCAGGGCTCTTCTGAGTAATGACTAATTCCAGGGTTAGGGCAGGGCAGGTACAAGATGAGCCTGGAACATTAGTTCTGCCAGAAAGTAAGAGCTATCCAAAACATGATGTGGAACATTTCACAAGAAAATAAGAACCAATTTGAAGACCATTTGAACAAGATAAATAAGGACAGCAATGAATTATAAATCATTGAAAAAAATAATATATGAGTCTATCATGATGAGAGAGAGAGAGAGAAATGGGAGAATTAATGAGGTCTCTTGCTCACAATAAAATGCTAGGTGCTGACAAGCAAATGATCATATTTTGTTTCTTGATCAGTTAATATGGTGAATTACATTGACTGATTTTCAAATGATAAACCAATATTGTATTCTTGGGTAATCCATTTTTATACATTTTATTAGGGATTTTTGTGTCAATTTTGTATGTTCATGAAAGACATTTATCTGTAGTTTTTTCTTCTTTTAAAAGTTTTGTCTGGCTTAATGTCATGGTATTCCTGGCCTCATAAAATGAGTTAGAAAATGTTCCTTCTATTTTCTAAAAGAATTTTTGTAGAATTGACTCCTTTTTTCCCCTTTGTTCACTAAAATATCATCATGGGACAGAATAATTTTTAAGAATGTTTGCACCTGATTTAAGGCCTTTCTTCTTTTCCATGTAAGGATTTAAAGAAATGCAAATCAAAACCACAATGAGGGGACAGGTGCCATGGCTCACGCCTGTAATTCCAGCACTTTGGGAGGCCGAGGTGGGCGGATCACGAGGTCAGGAGATGGAGACCAGCCTGACCAACATGGTGAAACCCCATCTCTAGTAAAAATACAAAAATTAGCTGGGTGTGGTGGCACGCACCTATAATCCCAGCTACTCAGGAGGCTGAGGCAAGAGAATCACTTGAACCCGGGAGGCAGAGGTTGTAGTGAGCCGAGATTGCACCACTGTACTCCAGCCTGGGTGACAGAGCAAGACTCCGCCTCAAAAAACAAACAAACAAACAAAAAACGAGATACCATCTTATGCCAGTCAGAATGGCAATTATTAAAAAGTCAAGGGTCAAAAAACAACAGATGCTGGCAAGGTTGCAGAGAAAAAGAACACTTCTACACTTTTGGTGGGAATGTAAATTAGTTCCTCCATTGTGGAGGACAGTGTGGCAATTCTTCAAAGATCTAGAAGCAGAAATATCATTTGATCCAGCAATCCCTTTACTGGGTATGTGCTCCAAGGAATATAAATCATTCTATTATAAATATACATGCACGTGTATGTTCATTGCAGCCTATTCTCAATAGAAAAGACCTAGAATCAATCCAAATGCCCATCAACAGCAGACTAGATTTTAAAAATGTGGTACATATACAATAAGAAATGGTATGCAGCCATAAAAAGGAACAAGATCATGTTCTTTGCAGGGACATGGATGGAGTTGGAAGCCATTATTCTCAGCAAACTAATGCAGGAACAGAAAACCAAACACCACATGTTCTTACTTATTAAGTGGGAGCCGAACGATGAGAACACATGGACACATGGTGGTGAAGAACATACACTGGGGCCTGTCAGGGGGCCGGAGGGAGGGAGAGCATCAAGAACAGCTCATGGGTGCCAGGCTTAATACCTGGATGATGGGTTGATCTGTGGGACAAACCATCAGGGCACATGTTTACCTATGTAACAAACCTGCACATTCTGCACATGTACCCTGGAACTTAAAATAAAAGTTGATTAAAAAATAAGTAAATATAAAATAAAATACTAAAACTATAATAAAATGATAACTTCTCTCTAACCAATGTTCTAATTGCATTGCACTATGTTCTGTTTTCACTATTATTTAGGTTAAATATTTCCAAATTCTTTTGCGATTTTTGAACCATGAGTTATTTAGTATTTGAAATTGTTCAATTTTCAAATACTTTAAGCCCCCATTGTTCAGCTCTCACTTATAAGTAAGAACATTCAGTGTTTGTTTTCTGTTCCTGTGAGATTAAAATCCATTTTACGAGACAGGCGCTTTAACCAACTAAGTGATAGAGCCACGCTAAAATCCATTTTAATTGATTTTAATTTAATATAATTGTGGTGATCTCTCTATGATTTTATTCCCCTTAAATATATTGGGACTTATTTGATGGTCTAGAATATGGTCTCTCTTGGTGATTAGTCAATGTGCACTTGAAATAAATGCGCATTCTGTTGTTTTGTATGAATGGTGTTCTATAAATATCATAGGCCACGTTGGTTGTTAGTATTCTTCTGATCTTCTATATCCTTACCAATTTTCTGTATTCTATAATTAACTGAGAGAGGAGAGTTGCATACCCAATTATAACTTTGAATCTGCCTATTTCTCCTTTCAGTTCTATTGGTTTTGGTTTTGGTGTTTTGTGTGTGTGTGTGTGTGTGTGTGTGTGTGTGTGTGTGTGTGTGTTTTCTTTTTTTTTTTGTATTTTGAAGCTCTGTAATTGGGTACAAATACAATTAGTATTGTCACATATACTTGATGACTTGATCCTTTTAAAACAATATCTCTTAATATCTCTAGTAATATTTCTAGTCTTAAAGTTTACTTTGTCTCATACTAATAGGTCCACTACAGTTTTCTTATGATTAGTGTTCCCTCTTTGCATTCTTTTATTTATTTACTATTTTTGTCTTTCTATTTAATGTGCATTTTCTGTATAGAGTTTTATAGTTCTTCCCCTTTTCTGTTATTAGCCCTACCACTGCTGTTTTCATCTCCATGCTTTTGCTTACTGAAGCCTTCACATGACTCAAAGAATTGAAGAATGTTTTGCAACTCACAAAAATGTGTAACAGAATTATGTGATCTTCAGCTCTTTTTAATTTCTAGCCACAGACATATACTCTTAACACAGACATATACTCTTTTGTTTGCTTGTTTTCAAATACTGCTTAGAATATGGCTTGTCTTTTTCTCGTACATGCTTCCTGAACAACCCCAAATATGGACAACACTTTTCTTCATTCTGGTATTCTGCTTGGTAACTTAAACCTCAGCAGCCACATTATATAAGATGCATGGAGCTACAGGAGGCAGTTTAATGAGCTGCTTTGCAAAGCCTAGCAAGTTTCTCAGTTTTTAAATTTAATTTTCCAAGTTAACATTAGCTTCATATGCAGATAATATTGGTTTTAAAAATACAGAAATATATTTCTTTTCCCTTAGAAATGTGGAAGAAGAAAGAGGAGAACTGGTTTGGCAGTTTTGTTCCACAAAGTATTTGAGAATTTAGGCTCCTTCCATTTCACCAATCTGTTTTTTCTAGTCTTCAAGATTTAAGAGGGTTCCAGGCAGTGGAGCAGAAGAAGATGGGGGGAAAAAACAGCAAAGGGCATGTTTTGGCTGCTTTTAATGAAGCTTCCTGAAATCTACCAAGTGACAAAGTTCTACCTTCTTCTTAGGGAAGCTGATAAATGTAGTCCTTTTTCCCTAGAAGGCCATATACCTTAAAAATGAAGGCTGAGGCAAGACAGTCCTCTGACTTCTTTATCTTACTTTGTATTTATTTACCTTACCCAAACTGAATGATGTCCTGCATTTATTTATTTATTTATTTTTGGCCTGCGCTGTCTTTTTCACTACTTGCCAATGAATTTCATGTGAAATACTGGATTCCTGGCTTTTCTTGAAAAAGCTGACAGATCTAGCAACAATGGGATATGTGTCCACCAGGAAACAGCTGGAATTGAGTACAGCCTCCCTCTCTAAAGGAGGCCTTCACTCTGCAGATAGCAGAGGTTGCTGGGCCTTCCTATTCCTAATCCACTGGCCAGCTGCCTGGCCCCACAGGCATTTGTTGATACTGCTCCTGTTTCACACCCTTTCCCCAGGGCGATGACTGCCAGGTTAGCTTATACTTCATAGCTAAGGAAGGTCACTAGAGAAGTGTCTTGGGTCACTATGCAGCTTTAACACTGAAGCTGGTTATAATTTAGTTTAACATGCCATGTATAGTTTAATTTCTCTTTTACTAAAAGATATTTAGACTGCTTCCAATTTTTATTACATAGAATTTTGTATATACTTGTATGTATTATATATGTTCTTTATATATTTTATATACACAGTTGGCCCTCCATATCTTTGAGTTCCACATTTGCTGATTCAACCAATAGCAAATTAAAAATAGTTGGAAAACACAGTAAAAATAATACAAATTTTAAAATATACTATAACAACTATTTACATAGCATTTACAGTGTATTAAGTATTATAAGTAGTCTAGAGAAGATTTAAAATATACAGCAGGATGTGTGTAGGTGATATGCAAATATTACTATGCCATTTTATATAAGGAACTTGAGGATCAATGAATTTTGGAATTCACAGTGGGTCCTGGAACCAATGCCCCCATACCAGGTACAACTGTAGTATTATACATATACACAGACACACTGTATCTACCTCATATGGTGTGTCAAGAATTCTAATTACATAACCCATGTAAAGCACTTAGGCGAGTGTCTGAAACATATAAGAACTGCTAAATTAAGAAAAGTCTGAAAGATCAGGTTTTAGAGATTATAGGCACTATGACATCACCAATATATAAAAAAAATATATTTAATCAATTCCAAGCTGAAGTTTTTTTTTATATTTTAGCATCTGTAACATTGGGATGTGTCTTATCATTGATGATATCTCACAATTATGGTCATAAAAAAGGCTTTTTTTTCAAGTACATGACCTTGTGTGAGTGCTTGAGAACTTGGTCATGACATTAGTACTGTGCTCACGACAGCTAAGTAACAAGCATGGCCTACAATTGGAGAACCACACCTAATGGTGTTTACATCCAGAACATCTTGATTATATTATGAACTGGTGTTTATTGAAAAAGCTACTGTGTATGCAAAAACACATAAAAGCAGCAGCAGTGCATATATTTTATATTGGTGAAGTAAATATTCAGTGTTGAAGAAATGACTGCAAGTACCAAAAGTTGCTGAATGGATGTCAGAGATTTGGAAGAAAATATGTGAGACTAAAATGTGCTCCATCATCTGCTGTCTTTATGGCTCAGAGAATTAAGAACACTAAGTACTCAGAGTCAAAAACTGATTTATAAGAGAACACTGAGTCAAAAATGATTCACAAAATGAAGAGGATTTAGGCATACCTCAGCCAATTTATTTCATTTATATTTTTCTTTTTGCATGCAAGAGTAATATATTTCTAAGTACATCTAAAAGAGCTCTTTTGCTAAAGAGAAAATTTATAAGTGGTAAGAAAACATTGTCTGTAAAATTGATACCTTTTTCTAAGTGATACGTACAGTAATGGTATATCTAACATATATAACATCATAGACTGATGAAATCTATAAATGAACAATTTCTTTAGCACTTCAGTGTTTTTAGATCCTGGTCGAGATTTAAAGTCCAAGGAGGGGGGTATGAATAGCCCTGTTTAAACCACATGCCAGCCTATTGTCCTTGAATAGGGTGGGGTACCTTGATTGGCAGTTCCAACACAATTTAATTCGATAAAGATGGGAGAGATTTCCAAAGAAATATCAGAATCTTATTATAAAAAAAGGAACACGAATATTGAGCAAGCAATATAATTGGGTTAAAAAAAGTGCATTATGAATTTTGACAGCTTGACCACTGCCAAGATCTATTGTAAAAAAAAAAAAAAAAAAAAAAAACTGAAGCAATTTAAATTAATCAACAGTCATGAGATATAAATTTACCAGAATCTTCATCAGCATGATGGCCATACTCTAATTATTGTCTGTTATGTGTTGTTACATATATTTTCCAGTCTGTCATTTTACTTTTAACTTTGCTTGCATGGTGCTTTTTCATACAGATCATTGTTATTTCGGTATTGTTGAGCATCTAGAACTCCCAACCCATGAAAAGAAAGGGATTTAAGCTCAGCAGAGTATGTTATTTTGAAAGCAGCCGGTATAACTGGGTTCAGTGCAGCTAGAGAATGGAGACAGATCCTCCAATATGCTGAGGAGATAACTAACTGGACTATTCAAAATAGTGAGTTGGAGATTTCACCCTAGGTGTCAACAGAGGGGCAAGCCCTTCGTAGATTACTGAATCTTCATCTCCGTCTTCCCTTATGTTGTGTTGTAAAAAACGATACATAGAAAACAGACTACACAGGGTCACCCTTGATCCTTGGGGATCCCAAAATTTCCAGAAGGCGTGGAATCCTCTCAAGCCCCTACAATGAAGTTAAACAGTCCATGTGTATCACCAAACACCCATGTCCAATACTGACTTTATTCCTTTATTTCCATGATCTCTTTCAAAAGAGGGGATCATGAGCATATGGAATTTTATCCCTTAAGACATCTAGATTTTTTCTGTCTGGGCTAAACTTCAACCTCAGTAGTAAAGCAATAATTATGTAAAGCCAGTATTTATCCCAAGTACTTTTTTATTAAATATTCAAAAATGCTAACAGAAATGGAAAATGTGTACATACAACTTTGTAATTTAGAAAAAAAGACCGATAATCATTCAACCAAATATTTTGACTCAGAGGTTCTTTTTTATAAAATCTGATTTTACTTTTGGTACTTTATAATTGGTGTGTTTATTTTAGTCTGTAAACAAATATTAAGAGAGAGAACAGAACTCTTAACTCCCGAAATATAATTTAGAAGACCACATTTTTATTCATACAACATAAAACATTAAATCATGTCTTTATCCTTCATGCTTCATGATGACAATGTGTTTGCAAACACATACTTAAAAACTCGAAAAATGTTTTGAAACCAAATACCTGAACTAATGCCGAGGAGAGGGAATCATTCTGAAACAAAATGTGTAAAGAATAAACGATTGCAACATCAGTCTCCCCACAAGTTTATGGAATGTTCACAGAAAGCAATTCCGAGTTCACACAATAATCCACTTTAAATGCTGGTGATTATGATTTGTTTGTGATTCTGGAAACCATAAGTACTATTATTTTTGAAAAGCAATTAATATAATACAGCAGTATTAAATGTGTGTCAACAGAATTACTCATTAATATAAATGCTTTTCACCAGTTATGGTGAGAGGTGTTGATTATTTGTAGGCAGAGCAAATTAAATTAAATAAACCCTAATATCTAGGGACTTGCCATTTTGCTTCGTAAGCAAGAGATATTTTAAGTTAATCCTTGAGGTTGATTGGCTGACTGCCATTATTAGATCAAATCCTGGGTTTCTAGTGGGGAAATTTAGTCCTAAGAAAAAGTTATCTCCTATGGTACCTTAAATGTAGTTGATACAGGTGTCATTTAAATTTCCAGATATAGAAAAATTAAGTCAAACGTTTGAGAATGAATTTTCAATACGTCTGGTAGATACTTTATAAACTTTTGTAAAATGCTTCATTAAAAAGTATAAAATAATGACAAAGATTTTGCACTTAATCTGAACTATAACTTATGTGATTTCCTGTCATTAGCCTAGACTTATAAATAAACTCTATGGACAATTCTTGTGGGCTCAAAGACCAAGATTTGAAGATTATTCAAGATTCTTTTTTTTTTTTATTGAGGCAGAGTCTCACTCTGTCACCCAGGCTGGTGTGCAGTGGTGCGATCTTGTCTCACTGCAAGCTCCACCTTCCAGATTCAAGCAATTCTCCTGCCTAAGCCTCTCAAGTAGGAAAATAAAAAAAAAAAGATTGTTGTTAGCCCTAACACCAGAGCTTTGTCGACAAGGTCATCATCATTTGAAGTCAGTTTTAATGTGTTTTCACAAGTTATTTTTGTAATTCTATTCCAAATTCTCAAACTTGTCAAATCACAAGATGATATATAATACGTCTTGCTTTTTATGAAATGACAATTTTCAAAAGTGACCTAGATAAATAACTTAAAAGAGAGATAACACACTTTAGAGAAACATTTCAAAAAACTTTCTGCATGGAACATACTGGTTTCAAACCAGCACTGCCCCCTCAAACATTCTGAGATGATGGAAATATTCTATATTTGCACTGTCTAAAGGGGCAGCCACTAGCCAGTGAGAACTTGAAACATACCAGTGTGAGGAGAAACTAAATGTTAAGTTTAATTATTATTAATTTAAATTAAAATGGCCTCATGTGACTCATGGCATGTTGGATGTCAAAGCTCCAGGATATAGATTTCCTATTCGAATAGCCATGATCACTCATCATTTGTTAATCATAAGAAAGAGGAAACAGTGAAACTATATCAAAGCAACTCAGCTCTTCTGGGTCGCAATGAATATGGACACTGAATTAAATCATCCCAAAATGGTGTCAAGAATTCTGGTAATGAATAATCCAGTCCCATCAATTAATGTGTTAAATCACTTTCCCAAACAGAATTATATATTAATCACTTCAGACAGTGGTGTTTACTTATAAGGTTAACACCACTTACCTAGTAATACACATATAGATATGTGTATTTATGAGTCTGGCTTGGAAATCAGTTTCCCAGAGGTACTCTCAGTCATTCAACTGTTATTTTGCAATTTTTGTTAATATAGAATAAATAGAAAATGCTTTTATTACTTGTACTTTATTACCCATACCTATTGTAACAAATGCATATTTATTGATTATAAAAATTTGCATGTTTAAAAAAATCCAAGCCATACAACATAAAAAATAAAGTTAAAAAATTCTATCAACTAGAAATAATTGTTAAATTTGTTACCTTAATTCCAGACATCTCCATTCATAAAGAAACATAGAGGTATAGATAACTAGATTGAGATCAAACTAATATTATTAAAATAGAATTGTACTTGCTATTTTCATTTTCAAAATTATGACATGCTATTTTATTTTAATTTAAAATTTAAAAGTGAACAATGCTGCATTAAAATGAAATGAATTGTTGTTAAATTTTTAGTAATTGTTTCTTCATCAAAAAAATACCATGACCTAAAACATTCATCTAAATTAAATTTTAAATGATCACCACAAAATTTAAGTTGTTAAGTCATTTTTTTCTTTTTAGCTAAATATCTCAGTTGCAGGCAGTAGATGAATAGCTCCTATGAAGACGAGGAAATGAATGTTCAAACACTGCCTCCTACCACCCCTCTTCTTTCACCTAAAATTAGTGATCCTGTTTTTGTTTTTTGTTTGTTTTTATTTCATTTTATTTTATTTTAGTTTAGTTTAGTTTACTTTGTTCTGTTTTAAATTATATTCTGAAGGTATATCACTTACACTCTATTCTGTAATATTTGGATTCTTAATGATAATTCAAGCACAATATGACCAGCTTTCAGCTCTCCAGTAGATTAAAACTTGCTCTTCCTAATGTCTTGGCCATTTGGGTCATAAGCAGCTTCAGGCTTCCACTTGCTCAGTCCATAAAACTTGAAGTCATTCAACATTCTTGAGTCCTCTCCATCTCCCTCACTCCAATTCCAGACCATATTCTGCTGGCTCTACCTCCTAAATGTCTCCAGAACCTGCCCACCTTCCAGCACCTTCACTGCCATAACTTGGTCCAGGTCACCATCCCTCGCCCTCAGATCCTTGCACAGTCTGCCACCTGGCCTTCCTGCTCTGCTCTGGCCCTGGCCCCTCAGTCACATCTCAACACAGCAGACAGAATGATGCTCTTACAAAGACAATACAGTGATTTTAACCCTTTGAGCAAAACACTTCAAAGCCCTAACGTTGGCCTAGAAAGCCCAATGCAATTTTGCCCTGTTACTCATTTCATCCCATCTCCTACTATTTCACTCCAGGCACACCGGCCTTCCCAACTATACCAGGTATGTTCCCGCCTTATGCTTTTCGTACTTGATGTTTCTTCTTTCTGGAACCACTTTGCTTCAGACTCTGTCACCATGAAAGATTTACTCAGATGCCAACTTCTCAGGGTGGCCTTTCCTGACCACCCCATTGATTGATTGATTTAAATATTTTATTGACACAAGTATGTGTATATATTTATGGGTTACATGTGATGTGATATTTTGTTACAAGCATAGGCTGTATAACCATTAAGTGAGGATGTTTGGGATGTCCATCTCAAGGATCTATTATTTTACATGTTGGGAACATCTCAAGTCCTCTCTTCTTGTTATTGTGAAATATACAATGCATTGTTGTTAACTATAGCCACCCTCTCTGCTATCGAACATTAGAACTCATTCCTTCTATCTAACTGTGTGTTTTTACCCATTTACCAACCTCTCTTCATCACCATCTCCCCAACACCCAAACACCCTTCCCAGCCATCATCCTACTGGTAACCATCATCCTACTCTCTAACTTCATGAGATCAACTTTTTAAGCTCCCACATATGAATGTAAACATGCAATATTTGTCTTTCTGTGCTTGACTTATTTCATTTAACATAATGCCCTCCAGTTCCATTTATGTTGCTGCAAATAGTAGGATTTAATTCTTTTTTATGGCCAAATATTATTCCATTGTGTATATATACATTCCATATTTTTTTCTATTCATCTGTTGACAGACACCACTCGGTTGATTCCATATCTTGTTATTATGAATAATGCTGCAATGAACATGGTAGTCTATGTACCTCTTTGATATACTGACTTCCTTTCCTTTGGATAAATTCCCAGCAGTAGGATTGCTAGACTGTATGTTAGTTCTGTTTGCAGTTTTTTGAGAAATTGCCATACTGTTCTGACCTCCCAACTTAAATCACAGTCCTCTCTTCAAACTTTCCATCCATTTCTCTCTCTAGCTTGTTTTTCTCCATAGAACTTATCACCATCTGACATATTGTGCATTTTGCTTACTTTGTTTATTGTTTGCCATCCCCTTATTAGAATGTTTCCACAAGGGCAGGAAAATTTCCCTGTTCTGTTCACTGTTTTAGGTTCAGTGCCTGGGACAATAGTGTCATATAGGAACTTGATATTTGTTTACAGAAAAAAATTGAGTGAATAATTGCTGCAGGATTTTTTAATGGTTTTTGTTCTTGATTATTCATATCTCCTATTTTTATATAAATTCAGCCCCTCACCGTATTGCCATTGTTTATATATTTCTGAATTGTCTGGAGATTTTAAAATTTTCTGTTGCGATGTAGCAAATTACTGCAAACTTAATGATGTAACACAATACTCATCTAATAACTCACAGTTCTATAGGTCAGAAGACGGGCACAGCCTCCCTGTTTCCTCTGCCAAGGGAATCACAGGCTGAAATCAAGGTGTCAGTCAGGGTGGGTTCTCATCTGGAGGCTCTGGGGAAAAGTCAGCTTCCAAGCAATTCTAATTGTTGGCAGAATTCTCATCCTTGCTTACTGAATGTCAGCTGGGGCCGTTCACAGCAACTAGAAGCTACTTGGCTGCCTTGCCTTCTGTCTTCAAGCCAGAAATGTTGAACCACTTTCTTCTCGTGCTATAAATCTCTGGCTTTTTTCTTCAGCAACGAGTGGGAGAAAGCACTCTTTTTAAAGGTTTATGTGATTAGGTCACACCCACTTGGAAAATCTTCATATTGTAGGAACAACTGACCTGGCACCTTAATTATATGTGTAAAATCTGTGTACCTAGATTGGTGTTGAATTGAATAACTGGGAGAAGGTGTGTGTATTGCAGGGGCTGGGAACCTTAGAGGGGCATTTTAGAATTCTACCTACCTCAGATTTCAGTATAAGATTTTTTTCTTCTTCTCCCAAGAAAGGTTTGTAAGATCTGTATTCCTGAATTGCTGCAAACTTGAGAAACTTGTCTCCTAATGGGGCAAACAATTATTTACTTTTTTACCAACCAAAATGCTATAGACCTTGCTCCTCATATTTCCTGCTATTAGCTGTCTCACTGATTTTTGCTACTAGTTTTCCACTCTTCTTCTGATTTTCTGGATTTAATCATTCGGTCATTTGGGTTGTGTTTTTCCAAGAAGTAATCATGGGCACAGTAATTCCTGAATTTTTTTAGTATTTCCAAAATGCTTGTTCAGTGAATAAAAAAAAAAACAAAACTGGCCATAATATTCATTCCTTCAAGACTTTGTGAACATGATCTGTTATCTTCTGATACTGATTATTGTTGTAAGAATGTTCAAGTCCAGCCTGATCTCTTTGTTGGTAACTTTCTTTTTCCACATTCATGCCGAAAGTTTAATAACAGCCAGAACACATCTTGATATTTGCATCTTTCACATAAACTTTTAAAATACAGATTTAGCTCTTACATCAAATAAATTATTTTCTATTATATCTTCAAATCACTTTATTTGGGGGCTTTCTACTTCAAAAACACCAATTATCATCCACAAGCATATTTGTCTTCTTTTCTTTTAAAGGACTTCCAGCTTTCTCTTAGGTTGTTAATTAGAACTTTTTCTTTCTTTGTTCTCTTCCTTTCTGCAAATTCAGAACAGAGTCCTATAGAATATTGAGGCCTGGTGACATTTTTTTTTTCCCAGCTAGAACACAGCAATGATAATTGCTCTGTCTTTCACAGCTCTGCCCTTGTCTTTCAGAGCTTTCCTCCAAGCTCCCACTTTCCCCTGCATCCACTTCTCATTAAGTAAACATTTCCTGAATTTTTTCAGCTTTTGAGTATCACATTTGGCACATTTGGGAGGTAACAGCAGGGATAGGTTTGGGAACAGTACTAAGACCTGAAAGAACATCTTGTTTATTTCCTTTCTGTTACTTTTTAAGACAAAGTACTAAATTATACCTTTCCATTGTTGGGTCTCTCTTGGTGAGATTGTTTTTCCTAATTTTGAAGTTTTTGCTTGTTTACTGATTTGCATGTTTGCTGTTTGTTTAGTATATTTTTACCTTTGTTATTATGATGTCGAAGGCAAAGAAAATGATCAATAAAATATAATTGTACAACTCAATAAATTATTACAATATGAATATTTCTAGGATGGATAATTTTCAGTAACCAGAAATTCTCCTCCTCCTTATTATTTCCTTTAAAGGTAACCAGTATCCTGATTCCTAACACAATAGTTCATTCTTGCCTGTCTTAAATGTTATATGAGTGAAATAACAAGGTATGTATATTTTTTCTGGTTTCTTTCAGGCTATGTTATATTTTTAAAATTCGTCCGTCTGGCTGCATATAACTTACTTGTTTTGTTTGCTCTTTAGTATACCATTGTTTGAGTCTACCATAATTTAGGTATTATTTATGGTCATTTGGATTATTTCCAGGGTATGCCTACTACAAATATTTGAGCCGTGGACATTATAGCATGGTCTTTGGTACATGTGTTTACATATTTTTGTTGGATATATTTAAAAGTGAATTGAGTCACATGATATGCATATGGTCAACTTAATAGAAAGTGCCAAATTTCTTTCCAATGTGGTTAAGCTAATTATACTAATTCACACTTCTACACTTTTATGAGGACTACTATCACTCAACATACTCACCAACACTTAGTATTGCCAATCTTTTTACTTTTAGCCATCTAATGGGTGTGTAATGAACCTGTACATAGGTTTGTTTCCTATTTTGCTGATTAAAAATGAAGTTGAACACTGTTCTGAATTGAGTGTATTAAATTTAGCATCCCTACTAAGATATTTTCTGTATGACAGAGGGTAAACCAGAGACTACAGTCCTAACAACCACCTGTCTTATTTTGCATTGAAGTCTAACATTTAGAGGCAATTCCTAGAAGGGAAGGGAAGGTCATATTCTTCAGAAGAGGTTGTAGCAAGACTCATAGGCAGACATTAGATTCATAGAAGCCTGTTGAGAACTATTATATGGAGAACACAAACTCTTGGGAACTATTGGCTTTACTGATGTAGACTGAGAGGGTGGGAGCTTCTCTGAGCTCTACTCTTCCAGCTCTCTAAATGTTTTTATAAGCTTCTAATTCCCTCTAATAAAGCCCTTCACACCTGGAATACATAGAGTAGCTTCTGTTTTCCTGTGCAGATCCCTGATGCTATATATATTCTGTCATATGTATTGGCCCTTGAGGTATTTTTGTGAGGTGCTTGTTCAAGTCTCTTGCCTTTTTCTCCTTGCTGGGTTGTCTTTTTCTTAATGATTGGCAGGTGTCTTAGTCAGCTTGGACTGCCATCACAAAATATCAGACTGGGTGGCTTAAGCAGCAGAAATTTATTTTCTCACAGTGCTGGAATTGAAAGTCCATGATCCAGGTGCCATCAGGGCTGGATTTTAGTGAGGCTCCTTCCTGGTTTCCAGACAGCTGCCGTCTCACTGTATCCTTAATAGCCTCTTCTCTGTGTGGGAGTGGCAGACTCTGTTTTGCTCTCTTCTTACAAGAACATCAGTCGTATCATATTAGGACCCCACTCTTATGACCTTAAAGGCTGTATCTGCAAACACAGAAACATTGGAAGTTAGGGCTTCAACATATGAATCTTCAGAGGACACAATTCAGTCTGCAATCGTAGGAGTCCTTTATATTATTCATAAGTTCAGTTATAGATGAAGAAAATAGTTATCTCACTTTGTAGCCTGTTTTTCAGCCTCTCAAATGGTGTAGTTTGATTAAAAGTACTTAATTTTGAAGTAGTTAATGAATTTATGATTGTGTTTATGTTTTATTTTAAAAGTTACTTCCTAACAATAGTCATGAAGATATTCTCCTCTGTTATCCTTATTTAGATGCTTTATTATTTTGCCTTCCATATTTATGTCTAGTGTCTACCTAGAAATAATTTTTTGGTAAGACATCTTTCCCATATAGTTATCCAAACAACCTAGTACTCTCTATTGACTAGAGTATTCTTTCTTGTATTTCTCTAAAGTACAAATGTTTGCATAAATCAAATATCTATATCTATGTGAGCCTTTTTCTGGGCATCTATTTCATTGCATTGGTTTACGTGTCTATAGTTGATGCAGCCCCACTCTCTCTTAATTATCTACCATATAGCAAGTCTTGATATCCATAAAGCAAGATTTCTTACACATAAGAATGTGTAATGCAAGATTGTCTTAGCTACTCTTGTTCTTCTGAATTTCCATATAAATTTTAGAGTCAGATTTTCAGTTTCCATTTTGAAGCCCTGCTAATCTATTTTTGTTATTTTCTGTTTTGTTCTATTTCCATTTGAGTTAGCTTCTTGGGGCTGGGGGATGGTGGGGGTATGAATCTATGGTCCCTGTTGCCAGAGTTATTGGTCTAATGCATAAATAAATATAATCTGAAATTAAAAATTAAATATATATAATTTTAACTTCTAAAATCACCTTCAAGGTAAGATGTAAAATACTTAGACAGTTAAATGAGATGCTACATTGGCTTGTCCTGGCCTTTATTTCCAACCACAACACTGGCTCTGTATCATCCTTCATCTGACATTTTTGAATACTTATTATATACCAAGAATAGAGCTACAAGTTGAACTTATTCTCTTCCATTAGATATTAGCCTGGGTGTCATGTTTTCCAGAAGTCTTTCCTGAGTTTCTTCAGTAGGGATAAGGACTCTCTTCTCTGAGCCAGAGGTAATTGTCCCTATCTATGTTAGCCTATAGCCTTAAAATTCTTTAGAAATTATTTCCATCTCCCTAAAAAGGGGATGGAGATACAATTTAGTCATCTTGAATAACAAAAACTTAGGGCAAAAGCCTGTGGTTTAGGGAATATATATCAGAGAGAGTGATAGAGAATATATGTATAAATATGGAAAGAGAGGAAGAGAGTTCCCATTTTGTTTTACTATCATAATAGTTTGCATTATTTTTCTATAAGGCATTGCTATGAACTTCTTTTGATTATCATAAAGGACACTGGGAGCACATATTTTAGAAGAGTATTGAAAACAAACAGGGGGTTCCGTAGGGAAATGGCTCTGCCATGGTACCCTGGCAATCTTGCATAACTCCACGCAGGGCAATGCTTGACCATAGTCTGACTTAAGGCTTGATGGCGAGTTCTGTGACTCTCTTTTTGGTGTAAGGGGAGGTACACCTTTTAAGGAGTTGCTGTAAGGCAGTTTCTCATTCCAATCATGTGGAAGACTCCCACAAGATGATTCTGGCTTCAGTTGAGTAAAGGACTTTTCTACCTCACCTCACCTCTTTGAATACAGTTGCAGACTTCTTGACTAAGTGTATAAACCTGCTTGGCTGTAGTATAGAGGCTGCTCCTCCATGACAGAGTGACACTTCACTGATGTCACTCATCATCTGACTCTTTGGGGTTAGTGTCATAATTTGGAACCAGGAACATGGGGAGCTGACATCATCATGCTGATGTTGCTTTGCTTTTGCATAAGAAGCAAACTGTCGGGATCTCTCTAGGATTGTTGACTCCTTACTAGCCAAACCTATGGAAGAGTGTAAGCCAACCTCACAACTGTAATAGTCATCCTTGTGGTCTTTTTAGTTACTGTGCTTCTGCTTCGAGAATGCTTGACCACTTGATAGATTCTCCTTAAAATGTCAGCCAATTAGCAAATCTTCCTTCAGATTCTGCCAAAAATACTTATTAATATGATTTTAAGATTGAAAACTCATGATGACACTATAAAGAAGATCCTACTGTCTACTTGCTGAAATAGAACTGGCAAAATAAAACAACAATAAAAGGGGTGACGGCCTTTGTACATCAGGTTCACTTGTAGGAAAAATTATGCTTCATTTTTCCTTAACTAAATGGTTTCTTTTTCAGACACATGAGATTGGTGCCAAGTTCTTTGCTACCCCCGGGCATTTAACAGGCTGTGTTCCCACTGCCTGCTCTCCAGCCCTGTTCTCACCTGACAACCACATTTATGCTCGGCACATGGTTAACCCCTTCTCCTTCTTTAGTTCTCAGCTTAAATGTCATCTACCCAGAGAATCATTCTTAATCCTCGACTACTTTCCCTTTCTCTATGCTTTTCCTTTGTCATATTTACCACAATTTTTCATTAAAAATGAAAGAGAGACATTATGATTATTCATGTTTATCTCTCCCATTGGAATGTAAGGTCTATGAAAATAGAGATCATAGTTTTTGTTTTCTCATTATTACCATGGTATTTCCAGTACCTAGCTCAGTTCTGGCATATAGTGGAGCTTAATAAATATTTATTGAATAAAATAATAATCATGGAGTGAAAAACTAGAAAAGTGGCCACCCACCTTTGGTTTTTTGGGTGTTAAATCATGATTGCTATATTTCTCCTACCAGTTAAAATTTCTCTTTCCTGCTGTATGTACTCAAGGACTTAAATTCCAGAAGTATTTGACAAAATGCATATGGTGGGGTGGGTGGGAGTGTTGAGTTAGGGATTCTGTGATGTTATTGAGGAAACTGATGTTACTGAGGGAGAAGGATAAGAAGAAAGGATACTGAGAATGTCACACTGAGGACTTGGAAGTAGAATCCCCACAGTTAAATTATGTAGATGGAGAGCACTCAAGAAAAAGGTGAAAGTATTTGAAATTAGGGTGTGTAGCTTTTAAAAATAAGTCTTTTATTGCTAAGCATGGTGGCTCATGCCTATAATCCCAGATACTTAGGAGGCAGAGGCTGGAGGATTGCTTGAGGACGGAAGAACAAGACCAGCCTAGGCAACATAGTGAGAACCTATCTTTAAATAAATAAATATTTGTCTTCATATAAAAAATAACGGTCTTAGGAACTGTAAGATGTTCTCGCATTTGTCCCTCAAATCTGAATTAGACAAAAGTCTGCTAGACATTTGTTTTGGAGTTCACATCAACCAAGTAAACAGAGCAAATCACCAATTTTAGTTATTTATCAATATCATGTTCTGCAATGACTTCTATGAAGACAGGAATGAGGTACACACACATACACAGAGCACACACACAAATAATCAGGCAACCTTATTGCAGAGCAAGTAAAAAGAATCAGTATCCTAAAGATTCAGAGGAATACCAATATTTACTAAGCCAGATGAACATTTTGGGAAATTGACCCCCTTAATTCAAGAGGTAAAGATCCAGCCCAGGAAGAGAGACAATTATAAATGCAAGTATAGATGTAAAGGTCACAAACAAAAGAATGTAAGTGTAATAGATACAGATAGGGTGGAGGAAAACTAAAAATCAAAACAAACTAAAATACTAAGTAACAATGAATATCAATGGTTGGAAGACAAACTTGAGATGCTCCCAAGAAGTGCAGAAGAAAAAGACAAATGAAAATAGTAAGATATAAGGGAGAGATAATAGTGAGTGAACTCAAGTATTAGAATTATTATTGGGAAAGCTACCAGAACTACTACAAAATAATCTAAAAATCTATCCTGCAAAAATTATAAAAGTGATCTTTACTCAAGAGAGGTAATATAGTTTGTTCAAATGAAAATAGATTTATCTTGATATAAACAATTGGAAGAGAAACAATATGTAGCACATGAGCTTCCCCATTAAAAAAATGGCCATCAGTATTCTTATAAAAGTATTAACACAGAGAAGAATAGACTCATGTAGTGGATATAAGAGTTCCAAGAGGGAAAAACAAAAGACCGCGAATCTAACTAAACTCAGATCACAGGATTCCAAACCACGGGATTTTACTATGTGTATATCACACATGTCTGTCCTTTTTTAAAAAATCTACTCTGCCTTTGATCTTCTACCTATCAAATTTATATTGACATTCCCCCGTTAGCTATACCAAAGTTATTTTGTGGCAAGTTAAAAAGTATTGTTTTAAATACTTCAGAAATAGTTTGCAGAATTAGGGAAATGGAAGAAGCTCACAGTAAAAACAAATGAACACACACAAACACACACACACACACACACACACACACACACACAAAACAAAAAGATAGAAAATGGAAAACCATTTTATAAGAGTTATAGATATATTGTGGAATGTTGGTGTGTATATTTCAAAAATAATTTTAAATTGAGCCTCAAACACTACCAGAGGAGATTGACTAAGAATTACTTTGATAAACATCTATGGAATTTAACAAATTACCAGCAGTTTGTATAACTTTAAGTAAATAAGTTATAGAAAATAATTAGTGGATAAATGGATAAAGACAGCTGTTCTGCAAGTAGCATAAAGCCCAACCTTTACAAAATACGTTTTCACTCTAAACCACCAGACTACAGTAATATGCCCCTTTTAAACTGTTTTAATAATACAGGTTCAGTTTATTATTTTTTATAGGTAAGTCATGTCAGTTCATAGACCATAATTCTTTAGGTATTTTTCCTGGACAAAACCTCGGAAATTGTAGAAAAATGACATGATCTCATCACTCAATAGAACAGCTATAATCAATTAGCTATAATCATATCCAATAATTTTTTATACATTACTTCACTTGCTTGCAGTCATTACGTGCATGTAATTTTATAAACTGGTTTTTATACAATGAGCCCTTTAACATGTGACAACATAGTCTTCATAATTATTTTCATAGCTACATAATATTCTGTTGAGTAGAGGTTTTGTAATTGTCTTATCTACTTTTCTTCATTTCAATATTCAAGTAGACCATGGATGAAAAGTTTGTGTCCCTTACAAAATTGATATGTTGATATCTTATCTCTAATTTGATGGGGTTTGGAGGTGCGGCCTTTGAGAGGTGATTAGGGCATGAAGGTGGTTAGGCTCATGAAGGAGCCATCCTAGGTGAGATTAGTGCCTTTATAAAAGGACCCTGAGAGCTCCCTGGTTCCTTCTGCCATGTGAAGATGCAGCCAAATGACAGCCATGTATGAATCAGAAAGTGGACCCTCACCAGACACCAAATCTGCCAGCGCCTTGATCTCAGACATCTCAGCTTCCAGAACTGTGAGAAATACATTTCTCTTGTTTATAAGCCACTAAGTCTATTGTATTCTGTTATAGCAGCTCAAACAGACTAAGGCAAATAGCTTCCTATTTTTATTGATGACAGGAAGCAAATCATACACATTGTTTTTATATAAAGTTTATTATTTCTTTAAAAGGTTTGTATCAATGTTACTGCAAATCAAAATACATTATTAATCTTGATCTATGTTGCTCAATCAAGTGAAAATATAGTTTTGCCAATATTCATGTATGAGTACCATTTTACTTCACATTTATTGTTATTTATCATTGAATTTTTACCTGTTTTATTATTTTATTTTCATTATTGTTTCATTATTTAAAAAATTTCTTTGAAAACTAACAAAATTGGCATTGATCTTTGTTTATTATTTGTATTAACTACCAAAATTTGATAGAAGTGGAACGCAAAAAATAAAAAAATCTAAAATGTGGCATTGACTCAGTAGAGGTGGAGGGGATATAAATATTGGAGCTTGGAAGCCTGGTGACTTTTGTTAAGAAATTGCATGTGACTTTATAGCAGCATGATTTATAGTCCTTTGGGTATATACCCAGTAATGGGATGGCTGGGTCAAATGGTATTTCTAGTTCTAGATCCCTGAGGAATCGCCACACTGACTTCCACAAGGGTTGAACTAGTTTACAGTCCCACCAACAGTGTAAAAGTGTTCCTATTTCTCCACATCCTCTCCAGCACCTGTTGTTTCCTGACTTTTTAATGATCACCATTCTAACTGGTGTGAGATGGTATCTCATTGTGGTTTTGATTTGCATTTCTCTGATGGCCAGTGATGGTGAGCATTTTTTCTGTGTTTTTTGGCTGCATAAATGTCTTCTTTTGAGAAGTGTCTGTTCATGTTCTTCGCCCACTTTTTGATGGGGTTGTTTGTTTTTTTCTGGTAAGTTTGTTTGAGTTCATTGTAGATTCTGGATATTAGCCCTTTGTCAGATGAGTAGGTTGTGAAAATTTTCTCCCATTTTGTAGGTTGCCTGTTCACTCTGGTGGTAGTTTCTTTTGCTGTGCAGAAGCTCTTTAGTTTAATTAGATCCCATTTGTCAATTTTGGCTTTTGTTGCCATTGCTTTTGGTGTTTTAGACATGAAGTCCTTGCCCATGCCTATGTCCTGAATGGTAATGCCTAGGTTTTCTTCTAGGGTTTTTATGGTTTTAGGTCTAACGTTTAAGTCTTTAATCCATCTTGAATTAATTTTCATATAAAGTGTAAGGAAGGGATCCAGTTTCAGCTTTCTACATATGGCTAACCAGTTTTC
Organism: Homo sapiens; assembly: GCF_000001405.40. Lineage (NCBI taxonomy): Eukaryota > Metazoa > Chordata > Mammalia > Primates > Hominidae > Homo > Homo sapiens. The sequence goes on from NC_000012.12 coordinate 41,117,962, forward strand.
CCAGCACCATTTATTAAATAGGGAATCCTTTCCCCATTGCTTGTTTTTCTCAGGTTTGTCAAAGATCAGATAGTTGTAGATATGCGGTGTTATTTCTGAGGGCTCTGTTCTGTTCCATTGATCTATATCTCTGTTTTGGCACCAGTACCATGCTATAAATCATGCTGCTATAAAGTCACATGCACACGTATGTTTATTGTGGCACTATTCACAATAGCAAAGACTTGGAACCAACCCAAATGTCCAACAATGATAGACTGGATGAAGAAAATGTGGCGCATATACACCATGGAATACTATGCAGCCATAAAAAATGATGAGTTCATGTCCTTTGTAGGGACATGGATGAAATTGGAAATCATCATTCTCAGTAAACTATCGCAAGAACAAAAAACCAAACACAGCATATTCTCACTCATAGGTGGGAATTGAACAATGAGAACACATGGACACAAGAAGGGGAACATCACAGTCCGGGGACTGTTGTGGGGTGGGGGGAGGGGGGAGGGATAGCATTAGGAGATACACCTAATGCTAAATGACGAGTTAATGGGTGCAGCACACCAGAATGACACATGTATACATATGTAACTAACCTGCACATTGTGCACATGTATCCTAAAACTTAAAGTATAATAATAATAAAATAAAAAAAAGAAATTGCAAAGCATTGAGTCAAAATATTGCTTATCAAATTAATGCAGGAACAGAAAGCCAAATACCACATGTTCTCATTTATAAGCAGCAGCTAAGCATCAGGTACTCATGGACTTAAAGATGGCAATAATAGACACTGGGGAAGAATAGAAGAGGGAGCAGGGGAAGGGTTGAAAAACTAGCTGTTGGGTACTATTCTCACTATCTGGATGATGGGATCAGTTGTACGCCAAACCTCAGCATCACACAATATACCCACATAACAAACCTGCGTAGGTATCCCCTCAATTGAAATTAAAAGTTGAAATTATTTTTGAAAAACATATTGCTTACTATACTTTGGAAGATAAATGAACTATCGGCCAGTGCTATGGCCTTGGGTAAATAAGTGGGAAAAAATCAGAATGTGTTTGTGTGCTGGCTGCTTCTTGAAACTTCCAGCAGACAATTGTATCACAAAATTCCAGCAGCAAAATTTCAGGTTAGAGTGAACTAGTCTGCAAGTAGAGACAAAAAGGCAATAGATCTTTGTTAGGAAGCATACTGCCTGTGGCCTGCAGACTAAATTTGACTAGGAATCCAGAAATGTGTAATCTTGTTGAACGATAAAACCAGCTATGTCTACATACGAATTTAAGCTATTAGGCACTAGTTCCCCGCCCTACAAACTATGCCTATATACGAATTGAAGCTCTTAGGCACTTGTTTCCACCCTACAAATTTTGTGAGAGCACTGACAAAAGCAGAATTAGGGAGAATGCCTTTATTACTCCTGCTCATCACTTCAGAGTTGGTGGAGAATGGGAGGTAGACTATAGGCCAGAAACCAAAAACCATGTTCTGTGTCTAAATAAAAATGTTAATAGTAGTTACCCTTACAGAGAGAATAAATTCTGATTTCTTTTGAATAACATACAGTACATTCCCATATCCTTACGGTCTCGTCTGTTTCATCCTCCGTGGCCATCTCTCCACTCCCGACTAGACTGCAGATGCTCAGGACCTCCATTTCCCAATGTGCCTTGCTTTACTGAAAGTTCATTTATTTGTAGAGATAGCTCCCTGTGGCTGTCATCCTTTTTCTCCCTTTGCCCTAAATAAACTTCTATTCATCTTAGCATCCATAATAATGTCTCTCACGGTGCTATAAACCAAGAAATAATTTTTTTTATAAAATCGAATTGGAATGAATCACCAGAGAAAAGTGCCTCCTGGCTGGTGATTCATGATGGTAGAGGAGGCACCTTAATGTAAGTGGAACTGTTTAATGATATTTTTCCAATTATCTCTCTCTCTTAATTATCTCTCTTAAACACACACACACACACACACACACACACACACACACACACACCAGGCACATTATAGACATTACTACATGAAGCATGTTAGCTGGATGTAAACCACATATCTCAAACTCTACTACCAAAAAAAAAAAATACTGAAAACCTGCTTGAATTTAAACGTGGTAAATTATGGCATATTGTTTTGTTTTTTCATAGATCCCATTTTCCCTGTATTTTTCTCTTTTTGTGTTATAATAGGAACCTCAGAAAGTCTTCTTTCCATAGGGTACCCCTACAGCATCCAGAGAATGCTCTGGTAAACAAATGAATGGAACAACACAAAAGACTCAGAATTACAAATTGTATCCCATTCCAGATATAGATCTATTCCCCATCTTAAAATGACATTTTCCCTTTTAAAGAATAGCAAGCCAAATGTGATCAGATTCACAAAACAGCCAGCTGAATAGCATGTGGAATGCTGAAGAAATAATAAACAAAAATGCAAATGAAGCTGGGCACTCTGCCTGGAAAACAGAATCTGTGTGCAAACAACACATATTCATGCCAATCGTTAAACCCCTTAAAAGGACCTTCACCTGTGCCTCTCTCTAAGCATAAAGCCAAAGAGGAAATAGGTGAATTTTCCACCAGCACACAGTGGGAAGGTTGTAACGAGTGAAGATCTTACATCTAGGAAAGACTGGGAAAAAATAATTGATTTAATTTAATTTAATCTTGATGAGGATTAAGTCAAGCTTCACCTCTAATCTGACAGGTTGGCATGTCAACATAGGAATAACTACTATCATTACCCAAGAGCAATTCTCAGAAATTGCCTTATAATTGAGCTCCATATTTTAAACTTTATTTTGGTCAAAGTCTTTTTTAAAAATAGAGGTGTTAAAGACCTCAAGAACTAGAGTTAGTCTTATTCTAGATTATATGATTGGGCAAATCACTTTTTTCTGGTTCCACCCACATAACAAAGTTAACCATTTTGCAAATTCACAAGTATAAGGCATTCTGTATATATCAGGTGCTATTATTGTTATAGTTAGCAAGGGAGAGGAAGTGCATTCCAGACAAAATAATGATGTCGTCTAAAGCGTGGCAGTAAGAAAGAAGGCAGGCACAGCTATGGAATAGGTATTCACTTGTTTGGCTGGCCCAATAAACTTTACAAATCTTTTTAAGGCCTCCACTAGTCTGTCATTATTGGTTGAGAGTAATTATCTCTTCCTTTGATTTTAATGACTTTTCAAATTTATTTCATCACAGACAACTATTTTCTTGCTATAATTATTTTCTGGACATTAGGAAGAACAATCCTCTGCCTGACTGTGAGGTCCTATGACCTTAGTTTCTCTTAATTCCAATCCAATATGTCAAGATTTCTCACATACAGTTTTCATGTACCTGCTGAAGATTTTACAAGAGTTCACTTTAAGAGGCTACTATTATAGATCCCTTCACTACCAGGATTTCAAAGTCCTTCATTCTCTGCCCTCACTCAAACAATCTAAAATCATTTCCCATTAAACTCTAGAGAGAACAATCCCTTTCACTTCTGGAGAATATTCTTAACCAGGCCTATGTCTCCAAGGCTCAGCCTCTTCCTCCACCTGAAATTTCTTTCTTTCCTTCCAATATCTTTTTTGCCCACTCATCAAAAACAGGTGATCTTGAAGTCTCTACAAGTGTTGTAGCTGACTTACTCCTCTGAATTCATTTAGTACTTCCTGATTCATGACACCATTTAACACTTGTTTATATTTTATATTTCAAGATGACCCAATTTGATTGCACAGGGATTTTGCTTCTCCCATACATATTAGATGTCTCAAAATACAACTGATTAGTGTATTAACTGATTGTGAGTGAATCCGAAAAGTGGTTCAGAAGTCTCAAAAATACAACAAAGCCACTCCTATTTAACATTCATATTCACAGACTTGCCCACTATCTCCTCTGCCAAAAGCCTATTGGCCTTAGGACAATATCTAAAAAAGTACATGAATATCAATGGAGGTAAAGAAAGTTTTCATGAAATCAGATTTGTAGGCTTATGCTGTCACTGTAAGGAAAGAACACTTATTTAGGATAACAAACTGTATCTTTTGAAGTTTGATGATGGGATATGCAATAAGTTTCCTCTGAGGGTTGAGATAAAATTTAAGTGAATAAATGATACATAGGGCTGCTATAAAATCAGAAATATGGCTTTCTGAAATTAAAACTACCTATCTGTCTCAGTGTAGACCATATGGTATGTGCATTGTAAGCATTATTTATATTTAGTATTTAGGTTTTATAAGGAATGAAGAAAAGTCATACCACACCTAGAAAGGGTGTGAACATAGAAGGCAACACTCATGGAAAGGTCTGTGTCTTGACAATATTTTTGATCAAAAGTTGTTTCCATAGTTATAATACTATTACCCTTATCTTACATGAAGTAATAAATCACTGTATTTTTTAATGTTACTTAGTTACTAAAATATAAAATTTCTGTAAAGCCAAATTATTATGTAAATTCATATTGAATATTTATTTGAAAATAAGCCAGCACAACTACTATGCTTTTTCTGTTAGTGAAAAAGACATGCTGCATTAATGTTTCTTGCAAGTTAGATTTCTGGAAAGAGATATGGGTGGATCTATTCTCAGACAAATTACTTCATCTAAAGAGCTTAATTTGAGAGCTATGTTTATTATTAATATTTGATTTTACTATTAATTTATTAAGTAAAATAATACTATGATAAGAAAAGAATCAGTTCTCTGACTTTGCAGAATACTGTTTGTTATCATCATAGTTACCACCTCCTTCAAAACAAATTTAGGCTTGCAGTTTATGGAGAAATTTAGAGAGGAGATGAAGAATAGAGGCTTCAGCCACTCAAAGGAGTTATTACACTATTCCTTCTGACAGTGTTTGGTTTTTAAAGCTTTAATTTGATGTATTTTGAAGGGCCATGGCATGAGGTCATACTAAAAAGATTTATTATGTGACTGAAATATTGCATGCCTGATACTTTTAAACTTGGAGAATTCCCTTCTTAGATAAAATAATCTGAACAGCAATTTAGAGGAGTGCAACAGCTTGAGTTAGAGCACATGATATGTAAAAGTTTGGAAAAGCAAGGCTGACAGTTTTGGGTGAAGGAAAGGGCAAGGTGGAAGAGTACAGAGAGGACTTGCTCAGAGGGTGTGGTCTCCTGTAGCACCCCGTTCTCTGGCAAGGACGTCCACCGGGACAGCCAAAAACTTAATCAAATCATGCAATAGGTGAAACAGAGAGCAGCTGACTGGATTAGAGTTCCTCCAATTATTTCCTCCTGCAAAGAACTTTTGTTACCATTAGAGAAACAAAAGCACATTTGTGTCCCCCACCTTCCATTACTCAAATTCCCTATACTATATCTATCAACTAAGTATTTACATTAAATTAAATAGATGGGCACAGATATCAGTAAGTGGCTGCAAAGTTTATGCAACAACAGCAAGCAACAACTAACCTGGTCTGATCCACCTGTCCAAGCCAAGAAGGCCAAAGTAATTACTATTTTACTATCCCTGCACCTGGATTCTGTATTACATTTCAGGTAGAGTTTTATATGAATTTTACTTTAATTTAATACTGAAACCATGAAATGAAGTAATCCCTAAAAGCACTATGTGGACTCTGGTAAGTCATATGCTCTGACGGATATTCACAGTTATATATTATTAAAAATAAATTTAGAGCTATTACAACCCAATGTTTTTTTCAAGTAAATATTCATAAAATGTTAATGTCCACATAATTTTCCCAAAGGAAACTAATTTCTCTGCATGGCATTATGACAGTCATGGTACTGTTTAAAACACGACGGTAATTGTATCTGTGATTCATGAATTTGGGTGAGCCATATGGTATATATGGTATTAATTGAGCTGGTTGAAATCCAGAAGCAGTGAAATGTTCATCTTCCTCTGACTGTACAAAAGTTCTGAATTCTGAAGCATTATTTATTAGCACATCAGACACTTCATGCTCAGAAATGCTCACAAGTACGTCAGCACTTTCTGCCTAAATCCTTGAATGTCTCTATCAAATTTTCTCTCTCCTTTTACCCTGTCATTGAACTCTTTGTCTCTCACATACACACACAAACAGATGGACACACAGCTTGTACTTATCTCAGTTTGCAATGCTTTTGCTTTTGTAAATTTGAGTGCTCAAGGGGATTTGGAGACTTTTGGTCATATTTGTTTTTTATTTTTTTACTGAAAAAAAATAGCTTGAATGAAAAAGGTGTTCTGTCAAGGCTTTGCCTTCTACTAGGGCACAATTTTCCTCACTCAAGAAGAAAGTACAATTGACAGCCCCTATTATGACACAGCTACTCTCTTAGGTAGCTGTATGTACTTATTTCATATAATCCTTATAATCACTCCAGAAAATTCACTCATTTTATTCTTATCTCTATTCAAGCATTACCATGTCAGGAAAGCCTTCTATACTAAACTAAATAGGAACTGCCCCTATTATCTCAATCCCTTTTTTTCTATTTTTATTCTTAGCACTTACTATCACCTGACATATTATACAAACTTTGTTTGATTATTTTGTTTCATCCCTATTATAACATAAGCATTTTAGAGTAATCATTTGTCCTGCCTTTATTACTAGATATACTAGGTATCTTCATTGTTTACAAGAGTAGCTGACACGTAGTAGATGCAAATAAATATCTGCAGAATGAATGATAACCTATCAACCAAGGGTTAAAGAACAAAGACTCTGTAGTCTTAATGTATGGGTTCAACTCCCTAAAGATGAAATATAAAATAGTGGCTAAGAGTGTAGCCTTGGAGTCAGACTGCTTAGGTTTGAATCCCAACTTTACCATTTGGTGACTACATGACTGATATGGTTTGGCTGTGTCACTACCAAAATCTCATCTGGATTGTAGTTCCCATAATTCCCACGTGTTGTGAGAGGGACCCTGAGGGAGGTAATTGAATCATGGGGACAGGTCTTTCCCATGCTGTTCTCTTTACAGTGAATAAGTTTCATGAGATGTGATGGATTTATAAAGGGCAGTTCCCCTGTACAAGCTCTCTTGCCTGCCACCATGTAAGATGTGACTTTTCTCCTCATTTGCCTTCCACCATGATTATGAGGCCTCCCCAGCCTTAAGAAACTGTGAGTGAATTAAGCCTCTTTCCTTATAAATTACCCAGTCTTGCATATGTCTTTATTATCAGCAGGACAACAGACTAATACAGTGATCTTGGACAAGGTATTTACCTTTCCTGGGCTCCAGTTTCCCCATGTGAATGGTGATAATAGTAGCAACCACCTCATAGGTGTGGTGGGTAATGTGAAGTCTAGGGCCCATTGGCCTTTGGAAAGCTGAATCACGTGCTAAGGCCCCCAGTGTGTGATGAATGAAATAATGGATACTGCATGCTTAGAAGAGTACCTGGCACTTCATGTTAAAATTATCATTAACTTCATTCACTTCAGTTCATAGATGAAGATACTGAGGCTCAGAGAAGTTAAACAACGTATTAGGTGGTAAAATAGGCCTTCAGACAGAGCTGCTTCTGTTGTTACAGGTGTTTTTTTTTTCTTTCCTAAACCGGATTTCTTCTCCTCGTCTTATTCTTTTTTCTTATCATTTTAGTAATGCCGTTATTAAAAATAATAATTATTATAGATATTGAGGTTTTACTCAATGTGAACATTATAGATGGTAAATAAAGTAGAGGTCTCTTTTAAGGAAAATATGTAGAACAGTACACTTGGATATATAAAAGGAATTACACTTCATATTCTATTTTCCTCTAAAATCTCTGAGTATTGAATTTTCTACCTACAGAGATAATTTTCACTTGCTTATTTAAAAATGCTTAACGACAAAATGTTAGGCTGAGAGGACTACAAATATAGATACTTTGATAGTTAATAAGGTCTTTTGATTGTTAATTTTACTAGTGTTGCCTTTGCCCTTTCACGTGATAAAAAATTTCATTAGCTTTATAGATTACATATTTTAGCATCTACCTTTTATTCTATCACAATAGTCATTTCTCTGATACCCTATAGTAGTTTTTCACACATTTTGTTTTCTAGAGAATCTTTTCTTCAAAAAGCAGTTTACTAGGAAGTTCTCTATAGAATGAATATATCTGAGTGGGGTTGCTCTGATGGGAATAATAGATGTTGTAGAATACAGATTAATTAATTCATTTTTCACCGCCTCCCAGGCAGCCTCTAAAATTCAGAGAAGACTCCAGAGTAAGACAGAGTAAGACAAGCATTTCAAAAGAAATATTGTGAATGAAGACAGATTTCTTATGCTATGGAGTAAAGTTTACTTAAAGGAGATTTTAAAAGAAACATAGATTTTAAAGAGACACTTTTAGAAGCTTACATGTATTCATCAGTGTTCTCCAGACAAGCAGAACCAATAGAATATCCTTCTTTATCACAAAGTATTGGCTCAGATATGGAGGCTGAGAAGTCCCATGATCTGATATTGCTGTCTGCAAGCTGGAGACTTAGGAAAACTATTGCTGTAGTCTGAAGGCCTGAGAGTCGGAGGTCAATGGCATAGATTCCAGTCCAAGTCTGAAGTCCTGAAAACCAGGAGCACCAAGGGCAGGAGAAGCTCCATGTCCCACTTCAACCATCAGACAGAGAGGGAATTCAATGTTCTCTGCCTTTTTGTTCTATGCAGGCCCTCAACAGATTGGATGATATCCACTCACGGTGGGGAATCTTATCTGCTTTATGCAATTGACCAGTTCAAATGTTTATCTATTCTAAAAATACCCTCATAGACACTCCCAGGAATAATGTTTAACCAAATATCTGGGCATCCCATGGTCCAGTCAAGTTGACACATAAAATTAACAATCACAATTAAGATGAGCTTCAAAACAGTTAATTTTCCTTTAGTTCCGCCTTCTTATTCTAAGGTTGATTTATTACCGTCATTTGCCTTTTTAAGAAACACTCAGTGACTTCTAGAGTATTCCAATTATTAAAGCTTTATCTTAAAACTCATCACTGTCTTCTGACTTATTTTTAAAATGAGATTAGAGAAATGGCTGATACAGTGATCTGGATTGATTCTTGCTATATGTTCATCTCTTCCTCTCCACTCCACCTGGCTTCCCCCTGCCCATTCCAGGTTTCAAGCATTAATCCTATAGCCAAGGTGTGTAAAAACCAGAGAGAATATAGCAGAACTGAAAGTAGATGCAGCCTAAAGGCAAGAGTTATTCTGGGTTTACGGCACTGATAAGGTGTGGTGGGTAATGTGAAGTCTAGGGCCCATTGGCTTTTGGGAAGCTGAATCAAGTGCTAAGGACCCCAGTCCAGACCAGCCTGGGCAGTGAATGACAGAGCTACCACAGGTCAGGGACTGCCTGTTCACCTGGAAAATGAGAATTTGAATACATTCAAGATTGCAGTTCAGGGCCCTTTCTCTGATGGGCTTTCTGTGATGGAAAGGAAATGTAAATCTGGACATTGCCTCTATTCATGACTAAAAATCCATTTTTCATAGGTTCAATATGATGGGAGTTTATTTAAGCAGAACAAGAAAAATAATTTTTTTGCACACTGTGTTTGTGGTCTAAAATGAATCTGCTGCAAATAGTTTAAAAGTATTTATTTTAATTGTGTAATGTTTTTCTGAAAATCATTAAATGTACAAAATTATTTCATCTGGGTTTGTGTACAGTTCTGTGTGTGTGTGTGTGCGTTCCCACGCTTGAATATTAACTTGATCTGTTGAGCTAATTAATAGAATTTCAAGTAAAGCAGTGAGTTATCAAAGACTGATTATGAGTTGATAGTAATAGGATTCATTGGCCCTGACTCCAGACCATATATGTGTGAATATTTTACATTATGTTTAATGAATATTGTCTCCTATATATGTCCAATTTCCAACCTGAAATTTGGATTTTAGTACTAATTTGCTAGCGAATACTTTTAAAGAGTAAAATGTTAAAAGTTTATTAAACACGAGTCCAGCTACAATTACGTGATGAATTATTACAAGTTGTATTAAAGTTTTGTTGTATTTACAAACGTGGGAATGTTAAACAAAAGACACTGATAATCAGCATTAATAGAAGTGCTTTTAATCTTATAAAATAGAAGAAAAGATAAACACAAGAGTATCTGCATATAATTTCAGAGATATTTAATTTTCTCTCTAAGAATATCTGATGCTTTCATAAAGGTTACAATTCTCTGCACAGTCCCATGGATAGGGGCTTTGTAACTAATTTTTCTTGATGAGGAATAGAGGATGATTGATTAGGAGGAGAATTCATCTTAGTTAATGTTCTTTGTACTTTGTATTACAAAGAATTAAAGTAGCTGTGATCACTAGCTTTGTGGGAGTTTGTAGCTGAAAACATGTTAGGTGACTGGTAGCCACATTGAGATTTCATAAAGACCATGCTTTGATTTTGACTATTGCTTGTTAATAGCACTTCTTTTTTCTTTTTAAAAAGTCATCCTGTTTTCTGTTTGGCTTCACCTCAGCTTGTCTTATGTCACCTCATCCATCATACAGGCAGGGTTGTTGGCAGGGAGAGCAGTTTCTCAAAGAATTATAATATGACATACTGTGAAACCTCTTTCTCTGTCCTTTAGCAATAGGTTTGACCTATTCCTCTTGCTTAGAGTGGCTATGCACCAACTATACCCTATTAGCCATTCCCTCAGTAAAATTTATTATTATTACAATTAAAATGATGCCTATGTTGAGTAGTTCATGAACCAGGCCCAGTGCTAACCATCCCAGGCTCCTTTGTGTATCTTTATTATATAGATGTTGAAACAGAGAGATAAGGTAAGTTTTCCATGGTTAGTATTAGGTAATGTGTGTCAAAAGTGGGACTCAAACATAGATCCAATCTAAAGTCCATTTTTTTTACCTCTTGACAAGATGTCGCCTCCATATATCCAGCCTGTGTCTTTGTTTTAGTTTATTAATTCATTGGTTTATTTAATAAACATTTATTACATACCTAGGACAAGGTGTTGGAATCTAAAGATACATAGAACAGAGTGGCTGGCCTCCCCAGCCTTTACTCAAGATTGCAGAGAGAAAAATTAAAAATCAAAATTAAAAGAAATCATTGTTTAGAGTAGGAAGAGAAACACAATTCAGTTTTTCTTGTGAAACCCAAGGATAAACTTTGCAAATTAGGGTGATATTGGAGCTGATTCTTGAAGGATGAGTAGGTATTGAGATAGGAAAAAGGAAGCTTTTTTTGAAGAACATCAAGAATGGAAACTAAATTAGCAAAGCTTGAGAGGTAGACAAAGTCTGTATCTTGTTTAGCATCCTAATGGGAATGTATTTTCTTCTAGATGTAGATATAGGATAAACATGGAAGCATTTTATGCAGAGGATTTTGATGAAGTGAACATTTTGTAAAGATTACTATAGAAAAAGAATGCCTGAGAATATGAAGCCTCCTTGAAAACTGGCTGATTCTGGATCTCAATTTTTATAATTCCCTTTTCTTCTAGAAAAGAAACAATTATTTTTGGAGTACTTGTAATAAAATACTCATGTATTTGTTTTTCCTTTGATCATATTTATTCTTTTGGGGTTGGGTAGAAAGTTTGAAGAAACTGAAGAAGCAACAAGCTTCTGAATGAAAAGGCATCAGTAAAATGTATGTAAATGAATTCTAAAATGTATTGGAGTTGTAGTTAGTAAAACCAGGTTTCAATTTTGCCTCTGGTAATTAGGACAGCTTTTTTTTTCTTTGTAAAATAAGAATATTTTTCTCCCCCCTCTCATGGCATAATTTGAGCTTCAAAGGATAATATCTGTGAAATTTCTTTGTGAATTTTATAAATATCATAGAAAAGCTGAACTGGAGCTTATAATTTTTGCAGAGGCTTGAAGTAGATGTCTCTTTGCCTTCCACTTTCAAATGGCTTTAAAGTTTTAGTGTAGTTTATAGTGTAGTAATTGTCATGCTTAGTACTGATCACAGTCAATAAATCTTCTCTTGTGACTGGCATGATCTAGAAAATATCTCTCTGAGTGATGGGGAAAAAAATCCCAGAGATGAGAGAGAACTCATAAAGTAAAGGAAAGCTGTGGCAAAGGAAAGTACAACAGTTTTTCTCCCATGTTTATGGATTTAAATCTTCTCAACAGTCAGCCAAGGGCTTCTCAGTCAATATTTGGACCTAAATTTATACACAAGATTTTCTAATATAGAGTTTTAACTTTGGAGTTTCCTTCCCTTTTGAATTTCCTTCCCTTTTGAATATGCCATAGCAGAGCACAGCCACATGAATTTTATAATGACTAAAGAAATTATTACAAAAAATCATTTCAACTTATTAGACCTATTAATTTTATCCTTTATGTTATGAATGGAATTTTGTCCCCTGAGAATTCATAGGTTGAAATCTTAACCCCCATTGTGACAGTAAGTAGATATTGGACCTTAAAGGAGGTTATTAAGATTAAATGAGGTGATAAGGGGGGAGCCATATTTCAATATGCCTGGTGTCTTCATAAGAAGATGAAGAGGCATGAGATTCTTCTTGCTCTCAGCATGCATCAAGAGAAAAAGCCATGCCAGGATCCAATAAGAAGGCAGGCATCTGCAAGCCAAGAAGAGAGACCTCACCAAAAATCAACCCTGAAGGAACCTTCCTCTTGGACTTCTAGCCTTCAGAACTGTGAGAAAATAAATCTCTGTAGTTTAAGCCACACAAGCTGTAGAATTTTGTTATGACAGCCCTAGCAGACTAAGCTCTGTATTTCAAGATCTGTAGTCCTGTGTCATGAGAGTCAGGGCATGTTAACTCAGATTTTTAGGATGCCTTGAGTAACTTACAGGAAAAGCGTTCTATTTGAACAAAATAAAAATAATAAAATGCCTGTATCAAAAGGGAGAATGATATAGTTTGTATATTTGTCCCTGCCCAAAAGTTATGTTGAATTGTAGTCCTTAATATTGGTGGTGGGACCTGGTGGCAGGTGAATGGATCATGGGGGTGGATTTCCCATGAATGGTTTAGCACCATCCTCTTGGTGCTGTCCTCATGATAGTGAGAGACTTCTTTTAGGATCTGGCTGTTTAAAAGTGTGTGGCACACACTCTCCCTCTTGCGCCTGCTTTCACCATGTGAAGTGCCTGATTCTAAGGACTCCCCAGAAGCAGATGCCACTATGCTTCCTGTACAACCTGCAGAACCGTGAGCCAATAAAACCTCTTTTCTTATAAATTACCCAGTCTCAGGTATTTTTTTTATAGCAGTGCAAAAACAGACTAAAACAGAAAATCGCAATGCAAGAATGGCCTAATGCACACTTTATCTTGGATTTTTTTCATTATTATATTTTCTGCTTCTATTAGTTTATTTTATTTTCTCATGGTTCAGTTAGTAATACATTCTATGTTAAATAGAGAATCCATGATATCAGTGGTCAGTCTGGAACGGAAAAACAACAAAACAACACAATAAGTACAAGGCATTTCTTCCAATTGTCTGAGAAAGCCATGTAAAGAAGGGTAAAATCTTTGCAGAAAATATTTGCTAATGATATTAGAAGTAAATTAGACCTAAAGCTACTATTTCAAAAGAGTGAACAACATGTAAAGCTAACTTTACTTTTCTGCATGTTATTATATAACTTCTAAAGAAACAAATACATAAATTAGCCTCAAGACTCTATAGATGAAAGCATTGGTTTGTAAGGACTTCATGACCGAAGAGTAGGTTCCCCTGCATGAAGAATCAAGGGTAACTCATAATGATATCATTTGGTTGCCATGTTCCACAAGAATTGTTGGTGTAAAGATCTAATATATTTATATCTATACATGTATATGTGTATATGTACATATATACATATATGATACTCTCATTTTATATTATACTCTTCAAAAGGGTTGCATTATATTAATATTTATTAAGCCACGTAGCCAAGCATATTTTACACATGCTTCATAGAAAATAAAAATGTTCATATTTTCCTTCTGTATCATAAGTGTTACATGTGATTTAAGATGTGGGATTTAATGTCTCCTGTAATAGACATTTCCCATTAGTATATTGGACTATCATAAAATGTTTGCTCCATGAGGACATCGCCCCAATCCAACATCAACACATACCTTTTTTCTCAAATAAGGGGAGGTTTATTCATTTATTTATTTATTTCTTGTAAGAAAAAAAAAAGAAACATTCACTCTCGAGACCTAGTTTATATCTATTTGTCCTTGGAAGAGTGAGCAGTTGGGCAAGCATCATAAGTAATAAACTTGTCATCAATCTCAGTATTGAGTCAGTGACATTCACTACTCCACCCTTGGGGAATTAATGAAGGAGGGAGACACACAGTTAACTGATCATTATGATATGTCATTTGACCTAAAGTTGGAATGAGCACAGGGTGCTGTGGAACATAGAACAGAAGGATCCAGTCCAGTGTGGAGCAGACAGGGAATGCCCCTGCCCCGGAATGGAGGAGATGATGCCTTCAAACCTCACCACAAGTCTTCAGGGTGATTTGGGACAGGCCAGCTTGCTTGTCCTGTAGTGAAGAACTAGTAAGGTGATAGGAACCCTCTTCTAAACAAAGTGTGACATCTTCAAGAAAGTGCCGTTTCTTCATTTTCTCAGAGTAGTTCTTCATAAAAATAAAAGTAACAAGAGATGGTCAGATTTGCAAAAGAAGAGTAAGGCAGGAATAAGAAGAAGAGAAAAAGAATAAGAATAACTTTAACCTTGGGGACAAAGAGGGAAAGAAGCAGACATGAAAAGAAAACCACAGCAGTAGTTGTTCTCTATCACCACTGAACCAGAAACCGGAGTATGATGTGCTTTGCATTTAACATACATTGTCTCATTTAATCCTCAAACCATCCATGAGATCTTCACTATTTTACATATAAGGAAAATAAGAAACAAAGAGGTCAAATAGCCTACACAATGACTATTAGCAGACTGGAGATTTCAGCTCAAGTTTATCTGATGCCCTGATGCCATGCCATCTGTCTCCTTGGTAGCTCTTTTACCAGTCTCATCCTCTCTGCCATTTTTTTGGATCGGTCTGTCATTAATTATCTCCTAGAAAATGGCAATGGCTTCCTAATTACTCTTCTAGCCATTTGCCAAAGTAAGAAGGGTCAGACCAACCCCCTACAGTCCCTCTAGTGCTGTTCTCTGGGCCATCAAGTTCTGTTTCTGCTTGAATTTGCATTTGGCAACATGGTTGGCATAAGCTATAACATAGCAAACCTATCTAAAATGTTTGACTATTTTAAAATATATTTGCAGCTGGGTGCAGTAGTTCACACCTATAATTCCACAACTTGGGAGGCTGAAGTGGGAGAATTGCTTGAGGCCAGGAATTCAAGACAGCCTGGACAACATAGAGAGACCCTATCCCTACAAAAGAAAACATTTCATTTAGTTAGCCAGGCATGGTGGCACACTCCTGTAGTCCCAGCTACACAGGAGTCTGAGGTGGAAGGATCACTTGAGGCCAGAAGTTCCAGGTTACAATGAGCTATGATTGATTGCATCACTGTACTCAAGCCTGAGCAACAGAGTGAGACCATGTTTCTACAAAAATGGAATAAAATAAAATATATTTGCAAAGATATGGTTGCCAAGAAAACCACAAAATTCATACTTGGAAGCTGAGATTTCACTACCCTTAAAGATGTCCTTTTCCATATAAAATGACAGCTTCCCTCTAATTTCTAGCGCTGATGATTTTTTTTAGTTCTGGATGTTGAACTGCTGTTGAAGAAAATGCAACTTTAACACAGTGGTAGAGTTGCCTCCAGTTTCTTCAAGCAAGTCCATTATGCACACGGCTCTTAGGGTGACCTTGCTGAAATATTTATTTGATCTGTATAGGCCCTTATAATGATTCATCAAAACCTTCACAACAAAGTTCAAACTACTTAGCTTAGTGTATAAGTGTTAGGAGCCTGGTCTCTGCTTTCTCCAGGAGCTTATATCCTATTATTCCCTCACACAGAACCTATTTTTCCCCCATCTATACCAATCCACCTGTGGTTCCGTCAAAGTAATTACACTCTTCTTTGCCTTCACCTGCTGGTCCCTGGAATAGTTTATCTCCATATTGGTTTAGTCAAATACCAGTCATCTTTCAAACTTAAGCTCAGGTATGTTTCTTCAGGGCCCTTCTCTTCACCTCCTTGTCTGATTGACTCTTCACTGTGCTTCCATTACACTTCAAGTATACCTCTATGGAAGACTGATCATGTTTTGCTGCAAGTCAGAGTTTCTTTACTCATCTCTGCAATAAAGGGTCAGTTCTCCAAGGACTCTGTATGCCAGCATTCAGCACTGTCCCTACCCTTTTAGTAGGTGCTTGGTAAATGTTTTCTGATTTATTAAATGGGATACAAGAAAGAGATGTAAGGAATTCAAGTAAAGTAAATGAAGAAATTCAGAGAAAAGCCCATTGAAAAAGAAAAATAAAATGGCAGGTATCCTCCGTTGAGAATATCTTGTGTGCAAATAAGGCCTATGCATTATGTATTATTATTATGTATTGACTTTTAAAAAATGAATGGATGAATATTTGATGGGTAACTGGAGGAAAAGTGAGAGAATAGGCAGTAAAGTGTACAGAAAATTAGAAAATGCTGCAGATAAAGTGTGAATGGGTACAGCAATGATGACAAATTTTTTCTGATACTTCATATGATGAATTTCCAAATGAAGACTCCCAATGATAAATTACTTAAAAGTCATAAGACCAGTATCCAACTCCTCCGATTAATTAGTTGTTTCATTTAACTTTAGTAGTAAGAATAAGTTAACCTTTGAATAAATTGTTATTTTGTAAAGGGCTTTCATATGCATAATCTCATTTAATTGCACAATAGTTACGTGAGAAACTCAAGGCAGGTATTGCTGCTATTTTACAAATGAGGAAGCAGAGCTGAATTAAATGATTTGTCCAATGGTACTTTCCAATCTGTGTTGTAACCAGAATGGATCTTTAGATCATGGCAGCCAGCCACTCATTTTGTAGATAAAGAACAGCGTAGGAGATATGCCTGGACTAGCTCAGGGTTAAGTAAGTGGTAGCCAGGTTTACCCATTTCATATCTCCCAGTCAGGTGCATTTCTAATCAATCTAAATTGTTTCTTTATCATTGTTTATATCATGTGCTTTTAAATGCCAAAATATAATTCTTTATCTTTGTGCTATATTTTCAGATTGATAGTATCCCTGCATTAAAATGTTGTATCTCATAACCTTGTCTCTGGGAACTATTACTTGCAAAAACCCTGACTGGTAAGGTTTGTGAAAATTGACTGTCTAAGAAAGTGAACTGATCCTGTTCTCTCTTAGTTCCTAGCTGAATCAGGACAATGGGAAGCATTTTCAAGTAAAAACAAAATATCTGATATGTCATGTCCTACTGGCATAGCCTCAATCTTGAACCTCATGCCCCACAACACCCCACCGTGACTGCCAACACCTGCTTTATTGAGGAGGAAATGCAGGGGGTGAAATTAACATGCTGCCTAGTTCTGTGCAAACACATTTATACCTCACCAACCACAATCCCATCCAACCACACACATACACGTATAATTAGAATTCCTTCTGCTCATTAGCTACCACTATTGTTTCCAAATTGCTGAAGACTCATTACTGATTATGTAAAAACCTAGAACATATCTACATCTAACAAAGGAGATAATTGCATGCCTAACACCTTATTTTATTAAAAGCATTGTTTTATGGATATTGCATTCAGAAAGCATCTACAGGCAATGGAAGTGATGCACTTCAAATCTAGGGAAAATATAGACCTCACTGGAGATGGGGAAAAAAAACGAAGACAAAACTTACCTCAAGGGGTGGTTGTGAAGGTTTATGAAACATGTTAAGAATCTGTCTTGAAAGATATATTGCAAGCAAAAATTTTTAAATATTGCCACATAGTTCCATATTACCATGATGTGAAATTACAGGTTTTATGTGTGTGCAATCAAAAGCTTACTGCTCAGTTTGAAAAGTTTTGCAATCACTACTCCACCAGTGAGGGTCAACCTTCAAGGCACCTACCTCAATTCAGACATCATGCTGTGAGGCCAGTAATAAGGAGAGTAAAAGTCTCTGCCTCCTATCTATTTATTTGTGTCTTTGGGGCCCATAATCTTTAAATCTTTAAATATTTTGAAGGAAACAAGTTTATTTAATGTTCGCCACCTAGCTGCAACATTAAAGTAGAGATATTTGTAAACAAAACCGTGACTATTGTGAGAGAATTATATTAGACTTGACTTGTTTTGCTTCTACAACTCAATTTGTGTGCCAATATAAGGATGATAATGCACTATAGAAATTTATCAGAGTGTCTAATTTCATAACTATTTTTACCTAAAAGTTTCTGCCAAGATTCACTTAACTAAGCTTTGCCACAGAGAGATGCAGAATTAAGATGATTTCTAGGTAAAATGCAGAGTGACTCAAATAATCCAAGAGAAAACTTTGTAGAGAAGAAAGAAGAGAAGGGAGAGGAAAGAGGGGAGGCAGAAAGGGAGAATAAGGTCACATTTTCTGCCTGTTTGACATACATCTTCCCTTACAAGCCCTTCATCTCATAGGTATGGCAATTTATAGAGTAGTAGAAATCATGGTTATATCTGTCCTTATCCATTCCCTCAGGAAACCATCTTTTCTGTCTCCAAGGGCTCCTGGTAGAACTGTAAATTATGATGCCCTACCCATTCCCAAAGATATGTATACGAGCATCCTTAACCTGAAGTTCTACACACCTCAGGATACTGTGATTTATACAGAAGCATATATGTGTCCTAGCCTGAAAGCATCAGAGTCTTTCTAAAGACTATGAGAAAGGTCTCAACTCTCTTTGGACTATGAGATATAAGAATTCAGGTTGGAGGCTGGCAGCATTCTTCTTTCTGTCTATATAGAAAGATGTTGCCTGAGAATTAAGCTCACAGACAAACCTAGGTGATATCATTTAAGTTCCTAGGTCCAACTCTGCATGGAATTCTCAGTTACATGAGTCAGTATGTTTTGTATTCTTTTCTTTCTTAACTAGGTTAATTTGTGTTGAGTTTCTTGCTACTCAAAAGATGTGACTAATACAGCCTTTATATGGGTTTTTCTTAAGTAATCCTCTTGAAAACCTAATTTTACAGATGAGAGGCTTAGAGAGGTTAAGTAAATTATCCAGTTAACATCTAGGAAGTGTCATCGCTAGATACAAATCCAGATAGGATTTCCTTGAACATAAACCCAAAGACATTCAGAGTGGACCATGGGGGCCTGGCATTCTTGATAGTTGTATTCTTTGTCCTTTTTATTTAATTTTAATTTTCACTTATTATTTTCTTTAATTAACATTTCTTTCTTTTTATTTTAATGTATCTTTCGCATAAAAGTTCAGATGGCTGAGTTTGTCCCACGTCAGTAGGAATAACTCACCTTCTGCAAATATGAAAACTCTGTTGCAATGCTTACTGTTGTATAATGTGATCATTTAGAATAATTTGCAGTGGTAAAGAAAAAGCCAAACAATGACTCACAATTCTCTATTTATTATTTTGCCATTAAAAGTAATGGAAAAAAAACTACAATTACTTTTGCACCAACATAATATATTACTGATTTCATGCACATTTATACCTCTATCACATTTCTGATACTTTTTTCCTAAGATTTTTAAAGGAAATATTGAGAGAGAATTACTAGGCAGCAAAAGATTTCTATGCTCCCAATATGGTCCTTCCTTCTGTTACTAAATCCAGCCTATTCTTTCTTCACCTATAAAATCTTTACTCCAATGCCTTGACCCCCAAATCTTTTCATATGTAAATTTAAAACTTCCTTTTTCTAACCCTCTCTTATTTCTCCTCCTTAGCCCCACTGTTCTATTCACTGCTACAAAATTTATATGAAATTTAATTTTTATGCCTGCCTACTTGCTTTGCCACATGTGAAGAAATCATACTAATTAGGGCCTTCCACTGTGCTCAGCCATGGATATGCAAAAATTATGATATGATTCACAGCCTTTAAGAGCACTATGTTTAGTTGGAGAGACAGGCATATTAATAAAACTTCATAGCAAAGTCAATAATTAGTCTTATGATATGGATATATACGCTTGCAAAGGGGGCCCAAACATAAAAGCAACTAACACAAATAAGACCCAATGGGAATGTTAGATTTCATACATAATTGGAGAGGGAGCATTGGTGTCAAACAGAGACATGCTAGACATAAGATGTAACAAACACAAAGACATGAGGCATAAAGGAACTTAGCTTGGGTCACAAAGACATTTTGGAATGTCTGTCCTGCTTATAATAATACCATTCAGGACACAGGCATAGGCAAAGACTTCATGCCTAAAACACCAAGAGCAATGGCAACAAAAGCCAAAATTGACAAATGGGATCTAATTAAACTAAACAGCTTCTGCACAGCAAAAGAAACCATCATCAGAGTGAACAGGCAACAGAACATGAGAAAATTTTTGCAATCTATCCGTCTGACAAAGGGCTAATATCCAGAATCTACAAAGAACTTAAATAAATTTATGAGAAAAAAAACAAACAACCCCATCAAAAAATGGGCAAAGGATGTGAACAGACACTTCTCAAAAGAAGACATTTATGCAGCCAACAGAAGTATGAAAAAATGCTCATCATCACTGGTCATTAGGGAAATGCAAATCAAAACCACAATGAGATACCATCTCATGCCAGTTAGAATGGCAATCATTAAAAAGTCAGGAAAAAACAGGTGCTGGAGAGGTTGTGGAGAAATGGGAATGCTTTTACACAGTTGGTGGGAGTGTAAATTACTTCAACCATTGTGGAAGACAGTGTGGTTATTTCTCAAGAATCTGAACTAGAAATGCCATTTGTCCCAGCAATCCCATTACTGGGCATATACCCAAAGGATTATAAATCATGCTGCTATAAAGACACATGCACACGTATGTTTATTGCAGCACTATTCACATAGCAGACTTAGAACCAACCCGAATGCCCATCAATGTAAGACTGGATAAAGCAAATGTGGCACGTATACACCATGGAATACTATGCAGCCATAAAAAAGGATGAGTTCATGTCCTTTGCAGGGACATGGATGAAGCTGGAAACCATCATTCTCAGCAAACTATCACAAGATCAGAAAACCAAACAATGCATGTTCTCACTTATAAGTGGGAGTTGAACACTGAGAACACAGGACACAGGGAGGGGAACATCACACACTGGGGCCTGTCGGGGGTTGAGGGGCAAGGGGAAGGGTAACATTAGGAGAAATACCCAATGTAGGTGACGGGTTGATGGGTGCAGCAAACCAAGAGGGCACTGTATACCTATGTAACAAAACTGCACATTCTGCACATGTAACCCAGAACATAAAGTATAATAAAATAATAATAATGGTAACAAAATCTTTAACAGCAACATCCCTTCCATCAGAATTTAAAATGTGGCTTAATTTTTTTAAAATTAATTAATTAATTATTTATTTTGAGACAGGGTCTTACTCTGTCACCTAGGCTGGAGTGCCATGACACAATCATGGCTCACTGCACTGCAGCCTTGACTTCCCTAGGCTCTGGTGATCCTCCCACCTCATCCTTCCCAGTAACTGAGTAACTGTGGCTACAGGCTCATGCCACCACACCTGGCAAACTTTTTTTTTTTTTTTTTTAATTGTGAGATGGGGTTTCACCATGTTGCCCAGGCTGGTCTTAAACTCCTGAGGCTCAAGTGATCTGCCTGGTTTGGCCTCTCAAAGTGTTGGGATTACAGGAAGGAGCCACTGCACAGGGCCTAAAATTTGGCTTAAAAGAGAAAGGAAGGAAAAGAAAGAGCGATCTCAAGCTGTTGGATCTATAAACTGTGAGTTTCTCCATTGCAACTGCTATGTGGAAGACAGAGGCAAAGAAAGCCATGAAGCCATGAAAACAATAATAAATCATACTAAAACAAAGATCTGAAGCATTCTTTCATATGTTCAAGTGTATTATGAAATCACGATAGGGCAGGCATTGTTAGAAGTTCAGAAAACAAAAATGCAGGCCCTGCTCTCATGAAACCAACAACCTAATGCAAAGAACAGACAATAAACAAACCAACAAGAATACATCAGATAGTGATTAGAGCTATGATGCAATTAATCAAGGGGATGTAGTAAAGAGTGTTTGGGGCATTGATTTAAATTAATGGTTCAAAAAAGGCCTCTATAAGGAAGTTGCATCTAAGCTAAGATCTTAGTGACAAAAAAAGAAACCAAAAAAAACAAAAAACACTAGTGATGATTCAGAGGAGGAATTTTCTAAGCTGAGAGTACAGGAAGGAGTAAATATAGCATATAAACAGCATAGAAAGAAGGTCACAGTGATTAGAACTTGGTGAGTGAAGGCAAGAATAATAAGAGGTAAGGCAGAGAGGGAAGCAGGGGCCAGATGAGGTAGGACCTCTATTTCAGGGTAAGGATTTTGGGTTTTATTTTACACTTAATCATAAACCATTAAAGTAGACTAAGTAGATGAGTGCTATGTTCAGATATAAGTATCTAAAAATAACTTTAACTTGCAGGAGGGAAGCAGTGAAATCAGGTCACAGAAAACCTGAAACAGCTCAGGTTAGAGAATTTGGTAACCAGGTAACCAGGCTGGTATCACCGTAGATGTAACAAACAGGACATCTGGAGATAGAGAAATGGCTTGCTAATCAATAAGATGAGATGAAGAAAAAGAGAAAGCAAGAATGATTCATAGGTTTTTAGCTTAAACAATTAAGTGGATGAAGATGAAATTTTCTGATGGGTATGACTGTGAGAAAAACAAGTTTTGATTGACTGGAGTGAATTAAGAGTTTCCTTTGGGCTGGGCCTGGTGGCTAATGCCTGTAATCCCAACACTTTGGGGAGCCAGGGTTGGTGGATCACCTGAGGTCAGGCATTCAAGACCAACCTGGCCAACATGGTCACACTCCATCTCTACTAAAAATACAGAAATTAGCCAGGTGTGGTGGCACATGCCTGTAGTCCCAGCTACTCAGGAGGCTGAGGCAGGAGAATCTCTTGAATCTGGGAGGCAGAGGTTGCAGTGAGTTTAGATCGTGCCACTGCACTCCAGTCTGGGTGATGGAGTGAGACTCTGTCTCAAAAATAAATAAATAAATAAATAAATAAGAGTTTCCTTCGGATCATTCTAAGCTTGAGATGACTACTGGACATGCAGGTGGGTATGTCAAGTGAGCAATTACATATTCAAGTCTGCAGCCCAGGAGACCAGTCTGGGGTGAAGCTATAAACTTGTTGTAAATCATCATGCAGATACTATTTAAAGCCCTGAGCTGGAGGATATTACCCAGCCAAAAAACACACACAGAAGAAAAAGCTCTGGCCATCTAGAGATTAAGACAAGGAAGAAAAGTCAGCAGAGGAAACTAAAAAAGATGTCAGTGTGATAGAAGATAAACACTAGAGTGTGATATTTCAAAAGCCAAACGAAGAAAGGGTTCAATAATCAGAGAATATATAATTATGTTGAATAGTTGGAGAAGTTGAGTAAGATGAGGCCGCAAGTATAACTATTGGGTTTGGAAATGAGGAAGACTTTAACACTTTGATGGTATCAATTTTAGGATAGTGATAGAGATAGAAATTGTACTGGAGTAAGTTGAAAATAAGAAAGAGAAATTATTTAGTAGAGAGATTACACTGGTACGATTTTCAAGATTCTATTTTTAAGAATACCAGAAATATGCTGGAAGAGCTGAAGGAACAAATTCCTACAATATGTATGTGTGCTGAGGAAAATGAACCAGCAGAGTAGCAGAGATGGTGACATTGGGGATGCAGGAGAGGGAAGGGACGGGGTGGGAGGCTCTTGAGAGGGTGTTAGGGGATTAGAGGACAGGATCAAGGAGTAAGTGAGGGAGTGTACCCTTTGATGTGTTACAACAGATGTGGGGGCACTGCATCTGTTGTAACAGGACAGACACAGGCTGCAGAAGAGTGGTGGATTTGGGGGTATATAGGTATGGGAGCTTCTGCCTAATTGCTCCTATTTTCCCCTTGAAGGTATTAGCTAAAAAGGAAGGAAGAATGTTGGAGTTTGAAAAAAGGGAGGTAATTTGAAATAAATATTTTAGATAATAGGAGAACATATGTTCCAGAGTGACAGAGTAGGATTTCTGACCAAAGTTGAGCCCTCACTTGAGATTTGTGGTTGTGAATATAAGGTGAGACTACTTGGTACAGTTGTGTGTTTTTTCCAGCAACATTTATATGCTCAAGTATTTAATATGGGAATTGATGCAGGATTTTTTTGCTCCTTAGTTCAGCGAACATCTGGGTTCTTGTCACACGACCAGGAAAGATTAGGCATGCAGACACATTGAAAGGCAAGGAGAGCAGAATTTATTAAAAGAAAGTTCTCAGTGGTAAAAAGAAGGGGTCCTGCCAACAGGCTCCTACCTCACAGATTGAATACCAGGCCACCACACACAAGAGCTGAAGAGGCCAGGCTCCTCCCCACTGCATAAGGTGCAAAGCACCGGTGGCTCCACCCCATTTTTCCAGTGTACAGGTGGGCCCCCAGTCTGTTGTGGGCATGCACAGACAAGGCCTGGAGCAGTTTCCCTAATCTGCATAAAAGCATGTGATGTAAACACCTGTGGAGCAGGTTGGAGATCCTCTGGGGATCCTCCCTTATCTGCCTCCTGCATCTATCAGAATGGCTGAGGTTTACCACCCTTGGAGTTTTCCAGGCAGATATTGAAGGAAGGAGACAGATGCATGAAAATTAAGAGTTTTTACAAGTAAGTATTTTTAATTATTGGCCATGAAATCTAAGCTGTATAACCATAGCAATGAGAATTACAGGAATGTAGTTGCTATAGAAAACAGTTGTAAAGAATTAAAGGTTTCAATGAAGGCAAAGAATTGCTAGAGTAGGAGAACAAGACTAAGTAAGCTAACTGTAGGAGGGGGGCAGTGAAAGTCAAAAGATTGAAATAAAAATTCTGGTGGTGTTTAAGTTTCATATAATTATAATGTGGAAAGACCATGTTATTGTTAAATGAGATGGGGTGAAATTTTTAAAAAATACTGGTGAGGTCAAGGAATTAAGAAAGCAAGGTATTTGGTAGATCATCCAAGCAGACATAGAATCAGCAGGAACAGTTCCAGAGTGAGTATGCTGAGGAAGGCAGGGAACAACCACTGAAGTCACCATGAATGAAAGGGGTGTGGCCTGGAGGCTGACAGGTGAAACTCAGAAGGAGGGTGGCAGTTGATAAAGCTTGCTGGCACAAATTTCAAAGAGCCTGCTGTATTGGAATGAGAAGGATGGAGAATGCGTGGAAACAGCCCCAGGAATGGCAGAAGACACGCCTTCCCCTTTTCTGAGCCCTGAGGTATGTTCAAGGAAAACAAAAACAAAACAAAATACTCTTTACTCCAGAGTCTTGCCAGGTATGCAGTGTCAGCAGGATTCGATGGCCACATTTCTTTTTTTCTTTTTTTTTTTTTTGAGACAGAGTCTCGCTGTCGCCCAGGCTGGAGTGCAGTGGCGCGATTTCGGCTCACCTGCTCACCGCAAGCTCCGCCTCCCGGGTTCACGCCATCCTCCTGCCTCAGTCTCCCGAGTAGCTGGGACTACAGGAGCCTGCCATCGCGCCCTGCTAATTTTTTGTATTTTTAGTAGAGATGGGGTTTCACCGTGGTCTGGATCTCCTGACCTCGTGATCCACCCGCCTCGGCCTCCCAAAGTGCTGGGATTACAGGCGTGAGCCACCGCGCCCGGCCACATTTCATATAAGACAAGAGAAGAGAAGGAATGTTCAGAAAATAAGTTACTGAAAAAGGGATTGGCTATTTGTTCCAAAGGGCAAAATGGAAGAGATCTGGAGGGTGAGGTCTGAAGAAAGGGCAGATTAGATGCTGCAGTGTTAGGTTATAATCCACCTAAAGAGTAAGTTTACATTAAAAATCCAGCCCACAAACATAGCGTGTCCACAGATAAGAAAGCAGAGTCTCACAGACCACTCTCTCAGTTAGTATGTGTGAAGAACTTCGATCAGTTGTATTCTATTTATATAAAGAGAAAATGCCATTCGGGGCGCTCTAAATCATGTTTATGACCCACAACCCGGTGTTAGAAAACCAATGGAATGGCTGTTGATTTTGCTTCAGGTTTCTTTTTCAGAGAGGTTTTCCCATTGTTTCCTAAAGTGGCCTACCCGGTTATTTTCTATCTTCTTTCCATGTTTATTAGCTTTGCGATGCTTATAACCAACAGTCATCCTGCTTCTCTTTCTAGTTAGTATTGTCTACATCCCCTCCAACATGTGAATTTTATATGGGCAGGGCATGTCTGTCTTGTGTATCTTTTCACCGCCAGCACAGTACCTGGCATGAAACATGCTCTATATAAATAGTGAATTGATGGATCATTGGGAATACCAATTTTAGGTGTTCTAGACTACAAAGTTTCTTAGTTGTCTCTAGAACTGTATTAAACCTCTTCTATGCTTACTAAATAAATATCCTTTGGAAGGTATCTAAGAAAGTTTTCTTTATCCTTTAGCTTAGACTATATGTCAAACAGTAAAATGAAAAAGAAAAGCCCACTAGATATGCACCATCAGTCCCTCCAGACTTTCTTCCCTTTCCGTCCTGTTCTGTGACCCTTTGTTGATTGCTGGGTCCAGGGAATAAAAGCACCGATAGGAGATCCAGAAGTAAGGGAAGCTGGAGAACAGGTGTTTATTCTCCGACTCCTCCTCCTGGGAATGGGTTGCAATGGCTGTGCTCCTCTGTGGAAAGATCTCTCAGGTTTTTGTAATTGCTCCTTCCCCTTTCTCCTTGAGGTCTAGAGGTGATAATAGTTCTCCCCTCACCCTTAGACGCAATCCCTTGTCCCATGCTCTTTACTCTGCCCACGACTTTCTAAATAGTTCTGTCCTTAAACTCTCCCCAATTACCTCATTTGTCTCATGCCTGGATTCTGATTGAAACACAAATATTTTTATTTAAAATAGTCCAGTACCATCTGAGGTGCCTCTGGGTTTAAAAGTCATGCCAAGGGCATTTCGGAACAAGTCCATAGATGCCTAAGAAGATACGTTTTCCACTCTCCATTTCTAAACTTATGGAATTGAGAGGGTGTTTTCTAGCTACAGGCAAACATTCCATTTT
This sequence comes from Homo sapiens, assembly GCF_000001405.40. Taxonomy (NCBI): domain Eukaryota; kingdom Metazoa; phylum Chordata; class Mammalia; order Primates; family Hominidae; genus Homo; species Homo sapiens. Next base: position 41,145,170 of record NC_000012.12, read on the forward strand.
CACCATGCCAGTGTCATTCCTTCAATCAAAACCATTTATCAACTACCTACTGTGTGCCAGGTTATGCTAGGCACTGAAGATACAAGTAGTCAAATAGGCCTCAGTGCCTGACATTAAGAAACTTATGACGTTCTTCTGAAAAATCTATCCCGTGTTTGGTATTCAAAGCAAAATTAGGTTGAGTGCAACATTATGAAACACAAAAAATACCCAATTTGAAAGCTGTGGAAAGAACAACTAAATATATACATATAAAAAGTCTCAGTTTGATAATTAGAAGATATTTAATATTTTCATAGATAAGTAATAAAAATATTAATATATTACTTTTTGAAACATACACATAACTGTGGTTTGATATGAAATTCAAAAAAGAATCAGAAATAATATATGCACCTATATATGCATACATACATATATGTACATATATATATTTCATTTGATTAACAGTAAAACACAGCTATAAAGCAGAAAGCAATTAGCTCAATTTTTTCAAATTAGGTAAGTCACTGTCTTCAATGTAATATTCAAATAGGCAGTGCTTGCACTCCTAATTTAGGATCTATTGCATAAAGCAATTTTTATTAGGGCCCATTAAGTTTATTTTGTGGTATGCCCATCGATTTGACCTAAACTGCTTAGCTATAGTAAACTTTTTCATCCTGCTAGCCTCAAGGGAATACTGGGTATGACTCATGAAATGGAGTTTGAGATATCAAGGTTTTATTACAGGTTTCCAAAGTAAACTTTAATTTAGATTTAGATTCAAGCCTTAGCAATCAGTTTACTTTTTATCATGAGTGAAAAACTAGGTTGATAATTTAATGTACTTTAACACTTGCTAAAACATTTCTTCACATTACATTTTTGTAAAGCAGAAGCCATTATTGATACTTGGATATTTTTTCATAAATTGTTCCACTTACATAGAAAAATATGCAAAATCAAAAAGGTACCCATATCATAAAAACTAAATTCAATATTATTTGAAAAAGTAAAATCCATTTAAAAACCACCTTCAAATTAAAGTGATGTTGGATTCATTAAATTTCTGTTAAGACTTCATAAAACCTTTCCTTTTTTCCTAGAAATTAGAAAAATGTGCCAATTAAAATAGAATAAAGTTTGAAGCTAAGTGTATCTCAGGATGGCTAACATAATTGGTATGTGTTGTGGGGTTGAATTGTGTCCTCCTAAAGATATGTACCTGTGAATGTGACCTTATTTGGAAATATAGTCTTTACAATGAATCAAGTTAAAGTGAGATCATACTGGATTAGTCTGAGCCTTAAGTCCAATGACTGATGACGTTAAAAGAAAAAAGGAATTTGGAGACAGACAGACAGACAGACACACACACACACACACACACACACACACACACAGAGGGAAAGAGTCATGTGATAACGATGGGAGCAAAGAATGGAGTGATGCAGCTATGAGAGGAGGAACTCCAAGGATTGTTGCATCCACCAGAAGCTAGGAAGAGGCAAGGAAGGATTCTCCCCAAGAACCTTAGGAGGGAGTGTGGCCCTGCTGACAACTTTCTATTGAACTGCTTGCCTCTAGAACTGTGAGTGAATACACTTCTGTTGTTTTAAGCCACCCAGTTTGTGGCACCTTGTTACAACAGCCCTAGGAAAACTAATATAGTATACAGGGTTTTCACAGATGACCATATTTTTCTCTTTCATGGGGATAGAAGGCCAATGACATGTATTTAGTTAAAATAAACAAGCAAAATATATGTAATTACAAACAAAGCATAAATTAGGCCATCCAGAGAAGCCTGCCAGAGTAGCTAAAGAGTTCTGCATGTTCCACGACAAAACATTTATAGTATATTCAGCTGCAATTTAAGGATAGTTCTGATATCTTAAGGAGCATAAAGTTCTTTTTACAACTTATTCTTTAAAAGATGTTAAACATTGAGGAACTAACATTAGAGAGTGTCTATCATATGCCAGGCCCAGTGAAAGACATTTTATTTTTTGGATGTAATCTAATCCTTATGTTTTAGTTGGTTCTCACACTACTATGAAGAAAAACCTGAGACTGGGCAATTTACAAAGGAAAGAGGTTTAATTGACTCACAGTTCCACATTGCTAGGGAGGCCTCAGGAAACTTACAATCATGGCAGAAGGCACCTCTTCACAGGGAGGCAGCAGGGAGTGAGTGCAAGCAGGGGAAGTGCCAGACACTTATAAAACCATCAGATCTAATGAGAACTCACTCACTATCACAAGACTAACATGAGGGAAACCACCCCCATGATCCAATCATGTTCCACCAGGTCCCTCCCATGACACATTGGGATTATGGGAACTACAATTCAAGATGACATTTTGGTAGGGATACAGCCAAACCATATCATTCCATCCCTGGCCCATCCCAGTCTCATTTGTTCACATTTCAAAACACAATAATCCCTTTCCAACAGCCCCACAAATTTTAACTCATTCCAGCATTAACCCAAAAGTCCAAGTCCAAAGTCTCATCTGATATAAGGCAAGTTCCTGCTGTCTATGAGCCTGTAAAATCAAAAGCAAGTTAGTTACTTCCTAAATACAATGAGAGTACAGGCATTGGGTAAATAGACATGTTCTGAATGGGAAAAAATGGCCAGGATGAAGGGACTACAATTCCCATGCAAGTATGACATCCAATAGGTAGTCATTAAACCTTAAAGTTCCAAAATGATCTCCCTTGACACCATATTTCACATTGATGCAAGAGGTGGGCTCCCAAGGCCTTGGCTTTGCAGAGTACAGCCCCCTCCTGGCTGCTTTCATGAGCTGGTGTTGAATGTCTGCAGCTTTTCCAGGCACACAGTGCAAACCGTCAGTGGATCTACCATTCTCGGGTCTGGAGGACAGTGGCCCTCTTCTCACAGGTCCACTAGGCAGCGACCCAGTGGGGACTCTGTGTGGGGGCTCCAACCCCACATTTCCTTTCTGCACCATCCTAGCAGAGGTTCACCATGAGGGTTCTGCTTCTGCAGCAAACTTCTGCCTGGACATCCAGACATTTCCATACATCCTCTGAAATCTAGGTGGAGGTTCCCAGATTTTAATTTTTGACCTCCATGTACCCACAGGCTCAACACCACATGGAAGCCACCAAAGCTTGGGGCTTGCACCCTCTGAAGCAATGGCATGAGCTGTACCTTGGACCCTTTTAGCCAAAGCTGGAGCTGAAGCACTTGGGATGCAGGGTACCATATCCCTAGGCTGCACAGAGCAGGGGAGCCCTGGGCCCAGCTCAGGAAACCATTTTTTCCCTCCTATGCCTCCAGGCTTGTGATAGGAGGGGCTTCTGTGAAGGTCTCTGACATGCCCTGGAGACATTTTGCCCATTGTCGTGGTGATTAACATTCAGATGCTAATTGATTATGCAAATTTATGCAGCAGGCTTAAATTTCTCCCCAGAAAATGGGTTTTTCTTTTCTATCACATCCTCAGTCTGCAAATTTTCCAAACTTTGGTGCTCTTGTGGTGAAACCCTGTCTCTACTAAAAATACAAAAATTAGCTGGGCATGGTGGCAGGTGCCTGTAATCCCAGCTACTCAGGAGGCTGAGTTAGGAGAATCACTTAAACCCAGGAGGTGGAGGTTGCTGTGAGCCAAGATCACACCACTTCACTCCAGCCTGGCAACAGAGTACGACTCTGTCTCAAACAAAAAAGGAAAAGAAATTTCTTCCACCAGATACCCTAAATCATCTCTCTCAAGTTTGAAGTTCCACTGATCCCTAGGGCAGGGGCAAAATGCTTCCAGTCTCTTTGCTAAAGCATAACAGGAATGACCTTTGCTCCAGTTCCCAAGAAGTTCCTCATCTCCATCTGAGACCAACACAGCCTGGACTTCATTGCCCATATCACTATCAGCATTTTGGTCAAAACCTCTCAACAAGTCACTAGGAAGTTTCAAACTTTCCCATATCTTACTGTCTTCTTCAGAGCCCTCCAAACTGTTCCAGCCTCTGCCGTTACCCAGTTCCAAAGTTGCTTACACATTTTTAGATATCTTTACAGCAGCACCCCACTACCTCATATCAATTTACTATATTTGTCTATTCTCACACTGCTATGAAGAAATACCCAAGACTGGGTAATTTATAAAGGAAAGAGGTTTAATTGACTCACAGTTCCTCATACCTGTGAGGCCGCAGGAAATTTACAATCGTGGCAGAATGTACCACATCACAGAGTGGCAGGAGGGAATGAATGCAAGCAGAGGAAATACCAAACACTTACAAAACTGTCAGTTCTCATGAGAACTCACTCACTATCATGAGAACAGCATAGGGGAAACCACCCCCATGATCCAATCACTTCCCACCAGGTCCCTCCCACGATACATGGGAATTATGGAAACTACAGTTCAAGATGAGATTTGGGTGGGGACACAGCCAAACCATATCACCTTACTCTGATATTGAAATTACAGTATCTTCACTTTCCAAATAAGGACATTATAGAGTAGTTGCCTAAATTATAAGTAACTTCCCTAAGATCACACCATAGTAAGTAGCAGGGGTAAAATCTGAACCTAAGTCTAAGGCAGATCTAGGTTTTGTGGGACCTAAGCTTACACAATAGGTAGGGGGAGAGCAAAAGACAACAGAACATGAAATGCATTGCCTTGTGCTAGTGAGAGGCCCTCAAGCTTAAGCTTTATCTGGTTAGCTCCTGCCTGAGCGTCCCTGACGTCCAAGCATTTTATTTTTCCAGGCATTAGACAAGTAATACAAGTTAGTTATAGAAAAATAATAAAATGCACTCATCATTTTTATTTATTTAATTTATTTATTTATTTTGAGACAGAATCTCCCTCTGTCGCCCAGGCTGGAGTGCAGTGGCACAATCTTGGATCACTGCAACCTCCACCTTCCGGGTTCAAGCGATTCTCATGCCTCAGCCTCCCAAAGAGCTGGGATTACAGGTGCCTGCTACCATGATTGGCTAATTTTTGTATTTTGTATTTTAGTAGAGGCTGGGTTTTTTCATGTTGGCCACGCTAGTCTTGAACTCCTGACCTCAGGTGATCCACCCCCCTTGGCATCCCAAATTGCTGGGATTACAGGTGTGAGCCACTGTGCCCAGTCTACACTCATTTAAAAATCACTCAACATTCTGCCAGCCAGAGTTAATTGCTGTTAAGTACAGATTGTATACATCCTTGAAGAGATCTTCCTATACATTTTATATCTTGTTTCTTTTTCATTTAATATATTATTGACATTGAAAACATAAGCCACAACACAACAGTTTCCTGTTTATAAATATGTAGTGGCTTCTATATCAATTTTTATTAGTTTTTTTGTATCAAAATAACATGTTATTAATTTAAAAATAAAATATTGCTGTTAAGCTTACAGCTAATAACAGGAACCCCTGTAACTCCATCATCCAAACTCATACCCTAGAAGCAATCTTTTTCATCTCTAGCTATTTTTTCTTGCATTTCCTCTAAAATTTAAGATATTTATCTAATATTCTCTAAGATATTATCTACTGACCTTCTAATATGGAATACATGAACTTAATATTTTCCCATTTCTCTTAATTTTTTGTTCTTTCATTTTTCTAAACATTTTAGTTCTTAATATTCAGAAATTACCTTTTTATCATTATGCTAATGTCATTCATTGACAAATCAAGAGATACATATTTTCTTTCTTGTGCAACATATTTTCTTCTGGAATTAATAATGGTCATTATTTATTAGTTATCATTTATTCCTTTGTTACCAGTTCTTTCAAATACTCAGGCAGAACTCTGAACCCTTCTGAACACTACATTCTACATGGTCACACGTTAAATAAACTTTTCATTCCAGTTTGTTGTTGTTTTCAATAAAGACATTCCTGCTGGTCTTCCAAATATACTGCTGTTTTCTAGGCCTGCAACTCAGCTACCGACGTGAGATCTCCCTGGGCTCTTTTATGATGATTCCAGTTTTCTTTGCTCCAACATTTAATGTCCAAGTTGTTCTCTTTATTCACTCCCTCATTTTGGTGGAATATATCCTGATAATAGTTTCCAAAGCATGTGTATATGGAAGACAAATTATTTGTGAAATGTGAGTGCCTGAAATGTCTTTATTCTCATATGTGTTTAATAATGTCTGGCTACAGATTTGAAGCTCAGAAATAACTTTCCAACAGGATTTTGAAATCATTACTCTATGGCCTTTAAGCTTCCAACATTGATGAGGAACCCAAGGTCATGCTGATTCTCAATCTTATCTAGGTTACCAGCTTTTATTCCCCACTCCCCAGAAGATTTTAGGGTTCTTGTTTTCCCCTTAGTTTCCAATATTCCTAATGATGTGCCTGATGTCATCTTCCATTCATTGGTCAAAAATTCAATGATCTCTTCTAGTTTAGAGACTCACATGTGTCTATTCTAAGAATATTTCTTGTATTATTTCTTAGATAAGCCCATCTTCTTTGTTTTTTTTTTTCTGAAGCTCTAATTTTATTGAAATATTTTGTTTAAATAAAATATCAATATATTTAATCATGTATTTTGTTATTTATTCCATTTTTATCACTTCATTATTTTATTATTATTAAATAAATTGACTCCAATTTTGGTATTTGTTTTTAGCCACTGTATGGTTTCATATATTTCACTGAACTTAAGGCATAGTTTTCCTTTAAATATCTTGACTTTTTAAAAATTTCTTTTCTAACTTTTCAAGTTAGCATATTTGGGTTAGTGATGAATACGAAAGAACAAGTTGAACACAGGTTAGCAGGGAGAATGAGTAATGTTTGGCTACTTACATAAGTATTACAGCAAAACAAACTTGTGATGTCCTAAGCTCTTTTAACGTTGATGAGCTGCTGTGTTCTGACAACTGAATTAGTCATCTTTCGTGCTACATCATGGTGTGGAAGAATCCCATGAAAATGTGCATTATTCACTTATGGAATACCAAACATCCAGTCTTCTTTGTTCATGGTTAGCTTTACTTTTTTAACAGGAGAAAAATGATAATTTTTTGAAGATTTTTTTCTCTATTATGATATGTCACAATAGCCACCAAAGCAATGATTTTTTTTTCCTTTTGAAAGAATAAGATTGGTGAGCACTTTCAGAATGTTCTAGGTAACATGCAAACTCTCTCTCACATTTTTTTTTAAATATTTATCTCTCCAAAAATTGCTGCCAATTTTATTTAACAAATCTACTCATTCTGGTCTTTGTTCCCATTTCTCAAATGGTACCAATGACTTGACGCTTATTAATCCAATGTTAATTTTTATCTCACTCAAGCTGCCTTGATACTGTTAACTATTCATTAGCCACTGAGTGAATGAAATGAGTAATTTTCCTGCATCACTCAGTACTACATCCTTGGTCCTTTGCTTCTGACCCTAAGTCTAGTTGCTCAAGTTTGTACATGTTCATAATTTAAATTGCCATTTGCATGCTAACAACTACAATATTCAAAACAACCTATATCATTTTTCATCACATTAAGCTCTTGTATCCTAAACAATTGATATGCTGCACAGTTACCTATCTCTGTGCCAGTTCAGCTGTGTAGGGAAGCTAATTTGCAGGGACAAGGGGAACCACTGAAATACGTTCCATTCCCACATTCTCTTTAAATTAACCTTTTATGAAATGTTATTTTCTGGCCATGACGATTCTTATAGTTCCCTTTAGTCTCAGATCTCCTATAGCGTTCAGTTTTAGCCATTGAGCTTTTGTGTTTTGCTTTAAATCTGCTTGTTTTCTTTACCCAGTCATATTGTAAATTCATGGTAAGCAGAGATTATATTCTCTACCATTATATCCCTAAGAGCGTCCTTCACTGGGCAAGGGTAGGTACTCATTAAATACTCATTGAAAGTTTTTAATCAAATTGGTGGGATTTTCCCCATATTTTGAATTCAGCTCAAACATCATTTAATACATATCCATTTTTAGTTTAAAAAAATCACAAACTAAGACTTTTTAATCTGGTTACTGGCCTTTAATTTAATGTTAACTGCCACTATTAGGTTGCATTACTGATCCAAAGAAAATACTGACTGTTGGTTATTTTCTGGCTTGTGATTGATGAAATGTTATTGAGTAACATTAGGTCATATTCTTTGTCAGAATGTGACTTGGAATTTGGCAGCTACACCATCAATTAGCAATATTGCTGATAACCTGTATTTTATATAGCAAGTAATTTGTTTTTCCATAGTAGCTGGTAGAAGGAGAGAAGAAAATGATAGTTAATCATCACCACAAGTCATCTGTAGTAAAAATAATACATTTGAAATATTCTTTAATGCTCTTTTTAAAAATCTCTTAAAATCTTTATGTGGTTATGTGTGTGCACACATGCATGAGTATCTTGGTAGGATTTCTGATCCAACATTAAGTATTAATTTACTTTATTGCCCACTTTTAATCTAGCAATTTGATGCTTCATTTATTACCTAAATTTTTGAATCAGAGTCTAATATTCATGTTGCCATACCAAGGTTCCAGGAGCATTTACATTGCCAAGCCAAAGAGTTGCTAACTTTGCCTATTTTTTGTTTCCCTTTTCTGAAATGCATTTTATTGAAACAAACTCAGATTTCACTGCTTTTCACATTTTAAAGTAAGTGAAAAAGTGTTTAATGTCTACTATGTATCAAGTAATGTGGTAGGTACTTTTCATAATTCAAAAAAAAAATAGGACCTAAATAACTTAGACCAAAATAATGCACAGCTTGTTAGGTACCCATCTGATTTTTATTCTTCAATCTTTTCTGTTCTCAAGTCCAACTTTCAACTATTGATCCACCACTAACACAGACATTACAATTTTCTGCTACATACTTCTAGAAATATAATTGATATTGAAATTCTCAGGCCCACATTGAATAATAATGTTATGACTTTGAACTAGCACAAACTAATACTGTGTAACATTGATTGACTAACAGTACATTAGAATGAAGTAACCAAAAAATCTGGGAGGGAAAAACTATTTTTCAGTGTTCTAAGTAACATAATTAACATGTCATCAATGATAAGAGTTGCCCAGTTTGGAATTAGACTATCAAAATCATGCACATTCATGGCATTAACTCAGTTACCCTACCCCATAAAAATAAAAATATTATAGATTTCCACTTATTCAACCCACTTTTATTTTCACCAAGACTATCAATTTGTATTCTAAAGAGCATAAATAATATATCCCATGCCTCAAAAGTGAACATGTATACAAAAGTAGACAGGAAGAGCAATAAGCTTTTTTGAAAGAAACTAAAGCAGTTTGGGAAAGTTATATACTTAACAGTTCTTAATGAAGAAGCCACTATTTTTAAAAGTTCTTGCTTTAGAATTTATGACCCAATTGATAATGAAATAAAGGATTAATTGCTTCAAGTCAGATTTACAAATCTAAGATGCTGCTATAATTCATTCAAGATTTTCTATGTATAAACTAATACATTTTATAAAGTTAAGAATTATTAATTTCCATGAACCTTTACTTCTTAGTGTATACTAGCCAATTAATAACCATTGACCAACTATTCTGAGACTCTGTCCTATCAGCATTCACAAGCTGCCATGCCTACAGACCTATGGGTGATAATCAGGCATACATTCAATGCTTGGTGAGGCATATTCAGGCATACATGAGTTTATGGACTATAAATGCAGTAATTGCATTTTAATGTAATTTTCTTAAAAGTAAATTTTTCTGAGCTACATCTGTGTTGATATTCTGAATTATAGTTTTTCTAAATAGTTATTTGAGAGTGACAGTAATCAAACACACCCAACCTATAATATTTAAGAATGATGTGGGCACATTTTCTGCATTTCTTTCCAAATGGGCCTTTTAGACAAGTACACCTATCTCTGGCTTAATTATTTTAATTTTTTCAGGAAAACTCTTCTGCTGGGTGAAAATTTTTAAGTGAAAAAAAATCCATGTATTCTAATAGGAAAAATTATTAGATATCGCCCCATTCCACCCAAAGATATCCAGTTTTCATAGGTAGAAAAACGTTTCAATTGAATGAGGACAAGTTTATATATTTTAAAGGATTTGAAAATAAATACATAAAGTTTGTACATAAAAAGCAAGGTAATAAAGGTTTATTACATCCATCAAAGAATATTTGATAGTGGGCTAAGGTTGGTAGAGTTAGTGAAGGAGGATGCAAAAGAGTCATTCTTTGGAAGATGGTAGAAACTCAAGGAATGAGACTTGATCTTTGGATTTATCAACATGAAAGTCATTGATGGCCTTGAAAAGAAGAATTCCTATAAAGACTAATGAAATGTTAGTAAGTTATCTCTTTATTTATTTATGTTTTCAATACAGGGTCTCGCTCTGCCATCCAGGCTGGAGTGCAGTGGTGCGATCACAGCTCACTGTAGCCTCGACTTCCAGGGTTGGCCTCCCACCTCAGTCTCCAGAGTATCTGCTGCTACAGGCATGCACCACCACACCTGGCTAATTTTTTGTATGTATGTATGTATGTATGTATTTACTTACTTACTTATTGTAGAGTGGGGGTTTCACCATGCTGCCAAGGCTAGTCTCAAACACTTGGGTTTAAGCAATCTGCTCACCTTGGCCTCCCACAGTGGTAGGATTACAGGTGTGAGCCACCATGCTTGGCTTCTTTTTAATATTTTATTTGTGGTAGGTGTTAATTGTTCTTCTGGAGTATATTAGCCTAATTATTTTTTTTAAAAAAAACAGTATAGTTATTTAAAATAATCAGATATTCCTTGTTGTTGTTTCAGCACCAATATTTAATTACCAACCCCTTCTTTCTTTCAACTCTTGTGTATCTCCTGTGTACTATGTTCACTTTTTAATATAGGAAGTTAAATGAGGTACATCATATCTGATCTCTTAAAAGCTTTATAACAGAATGAGACAATTTATGGTGAAGAGGTAGTAAAGAGTAAGACAAGACTTAGTTCAAATCCCAGCCTGAGTCCTCTTCAAGAGGACTAATTATATTGTGAATATATGAGTGTAAAATACTATTAGTTAATTGATCCCACAGTAAATGTTCTCATCTAGTGTGAGAAAAACATCTTAATGTGTCCAGTACAGCCACCAACACCTAATAAGTGAGGGATGCTATACATTCCCCAAACCCTTAAGTCACCAACAGTGATAAACCTCATTTCATTCATAAGACATGTTTAAAAACAATGAAATTCCTTTAAAAATCTAATTCAGATTTTTTACAAATTAACATTAGCATATTGACAACTTAACCAAGTTGTGGAAACACTTAACTAAAATTAAATCATAAATTCACTGAAGTGTTCCAGTTCTTTATTATGATGTATATTTTACACATTTTGTTTGTATTGACATGTTGAAATGGTGGGTTTTTAAAATTTTTGTCTTTATTTTAAGTTCTGGGATACATGTACAGGATGTGCAGGTTTTCTTACATAGGTAAACATGTGCCGTGGTAGTTTGCTGCACCTACCAAACCATCACCTAGTTAATAAGCCCAGCATGCATTAGCTATTATTCCTGACACTCTCCCTCCCTTCACCCCACCCACTGACAGGTGCCAGTGGGTGTTGTTCCCTTCCCTGTGTCCATGTCTTCTCATTGTTCAGTTCCCACTTACAAGTGAGAACATGCAGTGTTTGGTTTTCTGTTCCTTTGTTAGTTTGCTGAGGATAATGGTTCCCCATTCCATCCAGGTCCCTGCAAAGGAAATAATCTCGTTCCTTTTTATGGCTTCATAGTATTCCATGATGTATATGTACTACATTTTCTTTATCCAGTCTATTGTTGATGGGCATTTGAGTTGATTCCGTGTCTTTGCTATTGTGAATTGTGCTGCAATAAACACAGAGGTGCATGCATCTTTGTAATAGAATGATTTGTATTCTTTTGGGTACATACTCAGTAATGAGATTGCTGGGTCAAATGGTATTTCTGATTCTAGATCTTTAAGGAATCACCACACCATCATCCACAGTGGTTGAACTAATTTACATACCCAACAGTGTAAAAGCGTTCCTATTTCTCTGCAACCTCGCCAGTATCTGCTGCTTGTTAACTTTTTAAAAATTGCCATTCCAACTGGCATTAGATAGTATCTCCTTGTGGTTTTGATTTGCACTTCTTTAATGATCAGTGATGTTTAGCTTTTTCCTGTTTGCTGGGCACATGAATGTCTTCTTTTGAGAAGTGTCTGTTTATGTCCTTTGTCCACTTTTTAATGAGGTCTTTTTTTAATTGTAAATTTGTTTAAGTTCCTTGTAGATTCTGTATATTAGACCTTTGTCAGATGGATAGATTGCAAAAATTTTCTCCCACACTGTAGGTTGCCTGTTTGCTCTGATGATAGTTTCTTTTGCTGTGCAAAAGCTCTTTAGTTTAATTAGATCCAATTTGTCAATTTTTGCTTGTGTTGCAATTGCTTTTGGTGACTTTAACATGAAATCTTGGCCCGTGCCTAAGTCCTAAATGATATTGTCTAGATTTTCTTTTAAGGTTTTTTAAGGTTTTGGGTTTTACATTTAAGTGTTTAATCCATCTTGAGTTAATTTTTGTCTAAGGTGTGAGGAGGGGGTCCAGTTTCAACGTTCTGCATATGGCTAGCCAGTTTTCCTAGCACCATTTATTAAATAGGGAATCCTTTCTTCATTGTTTGTTTTTGTCAGGTTTATTGAAGATCAGATGCTTGTAGATGTGCAGTCTTATTTCTGAGCTCTGTATTCTGTTCCATTGGTCTATGTGTCTGTTTTTGTACTGGTATTATACTGTCTTGGTTATTGTGGCCTCGTAGTATATTTGAAGTCAGGTAGCATGATGCCTCCAGCTTTGTTCCTTTTGGTTAGGATTGTCTTAGCTATACGAGCCCTTTTTTGGTTCCATATGAATTTTAAAATAGTTTTTTCTAATTCTGTGAGAATTTCAATGGTAGTTTAATGGAAATAGCATTGAATCTATAAATTACTTTGAGCCGTATGGCCAGTTACATGATATTGATGCTTGCTATCCATAAGCATGGAAAGATTTTCCATTTCTTTTTTTTTATTATTATTATACTATAAGTTTTAGGGTACATGTGCACAATGTGCAGGTTTGTTACATATGTATACATGTGCCATGCTGGTATGCTGCACCCATTAACTCGTCATTTAGCATTAGGTATATCTCCTAATGCTATCCCTCCCCCCTCCCCCCACCACACAACAGTCCCCGGAGTGTGATGTTCCCTTTCCTCTGTCCATGTGTTCTCATTGTTCAATTCCCATCTATGAGTGAGAACATGCAGTGTTTGGTTTTTTCTCCTTGGGATAGTTTGCTGAGAATGATGGTTTCCAGTTTCATCCATGTCCCTACAAAGGACATGAACTCTTCATTTTTTATGGCTGCATAGTATTCCATGGTGGATATGTGCCACATTTTCTTAATCCAGTCTATCATTGTTGGACATTTAGGTTGGTTCCAAGTCTTTGCTATTGGGAATAGTGCTGCAATAAACATACGTGTGCATGTGTCTTCATAGCAGCATGATTTATACTCCTTTGGGTATGTACCCAGTAATGGGATGGCTGGGTCAAATGGTATTTTTAGTTCTAGATCCGTGAGGAATTGCCACACTGACTTCCACAATGGTTGAACTAGTTTACAGTCCCACCAACAGTGTAAAAGTGTTCCTATTTCTCCACATCCTCTCCAGCACCTGTTGTTTCCTGACTTTTTAGTGATTGCCATTCTAACTGGGGTGAGATGGTATCTCATTGTGGTTTTGATTTGCATTTCTCTGATGGCCAGTGATGGTGAGCATTTTTTCTGTGTTTTTTGTCTGCATAAATGTCTTCTTTTGAGAAGTGTCTGTTCATATCCTTCGCCCACTTTTTGATGGGGTTGTTTGTTTTTTTCTTGTAAATTTGTTTGAGTTCATTGTAGATTCTGGATATTAGCCCTTTGTCAGATGAGTAGGTTGCAAAAATTTTCTCCCATTTTGTAGGTTGCCTGTTCACTCTGATGGTAGTTTCTTTTGCTGTGCAGAAGCTCTTTAGTTTAATTAGATCTCATTTCTCAATTTTGGCTTTTGTTGCCATTGCTTTTGGTGTTTTAGACATGAAGTCCTTGCCCATGCCTATGTCCTGAATGGTATTGCCTAGGGTTTCTTCTAGGGTTTTTATGGTTTTAGGTCTAACATATAAGTCTTTAATCCATCTTGAATTAATTTTTGTATAAGGTGTAAGGAAGGGATCCAGTTTCAGCTTTCTACCTATGGCTAGCCAGTTTTCCCAGCACCATTTATTAAATAGGGAATCCTTTCCCCATTGCTTGTTTTTCTCAGGTTTGTCAAAGATCAGATAGTTGTAGATATGTGGCATTATTTCTGAGGGCTCTGTTCTGTTCCATTGATCTATATCTCTGTTTTGGTACCAGTACCATGCTGTTTTGGTTACTGTAGCCTTGTAGTATAGTTTGAAGTCAGGTAGTGTGATGCCTCCAGCTTTGTTCTTTTGGCTTAGGATTGATTTGGTGATGCAGGCTCTTTTTTGGTTCCACATGAACTTTAAAGTAGTTTTTTCCAGTTCTGTGAAGAAAGTCATTGGTAATTTGATGGAGATGGCATTGAATCTATAAATTACCTTGGACAGTATGGCCATTTTCATGATATTGATGCTTCCTACCCATGAGCATGGAATGTTCTTCCATTTCTTTGTATCCTCTTTTATTTCCTTGAGCAGCGGTTTGTAGTTCTCCTTGAAGAGGTCCTTCACATCCTTTTAAGTTGGATTCCTAGGTATTTTTTTCTCTTGGAAGCAATTGTGAATGGGAGTTCACTCATGATTTGGCTCTCTGTTTGTCTGTTATTGGTGTATAAGAATGCTTGTGATTTTTGTACATTGATTTTATATCCTGAGACTTTGCTGAAGTTGCTTATCAGCTTAAGGAGATTTTGGGCTGAGACAATGGGGTTTTCTAGATATACAGTCATGTCATCTTCAAACAGGGACAATTTGACTTCCTCTTTTCCTAATTGAATACCCTTAATTTTCTTCTCCTGCCTGATTGCCGTGGCCAGAACTTCCAACACTATGTTGAATAGGAGTGGTGAGAGAGGGCATCCCTGTCTTGTGACAGTTTTCAGAGGAATGCTTCCAGTTTTTGCCAATTCAGTATGATATTGGCTGTGGGTTTGTCATAGATAGCTCTTATTATTTTGAGATATGTCCCATCAATACCTAATTTATTGAGAGTTTTCAGCATGAAGGGTTGTTGAATTTTGTCAAAGCCTTTTCTGCATCTCTTGAGATAATCATGTGGTTTTTGTCTTTGATTCTGTTTATATGCTGGATTACATTTATTGATTTGCATATGTTGAACCAGCCTTGCATCTCAGGGATGAAGCCCACTTGATCATGGTGGAAAAGCTTTTTGATATGCTGCTGGATTCGGTTTGCCAGTATTTTGTTGAGGATTTTTGCATCAATGTTCATCAAGGATATTGGTCTAAAATTCTCTTTTTTGGTTGTGTCTCTGCCAGGCTTTGGTATCAGGATGATGCCGGCCTCATAAAATGAGTTAGGGAGGATTCCTTTTTCTATTGATTGGAATAGTTTCAGAAGGAGTGGTACCAGCTCTTCCTTGTACCTCTGGTAGAATTCGGCTGTGAATCCATCTGGTCCTGGACTTTTTTTGGTTGGTAAGCTATTGATTATTGCCACAATTTCAGAGCCTGTTATTGGTCTATTCAGAGATTCAACATCTTCCTAGTTTAGTCTTGGGAGGGTGTATGTGTCGAGAAATTTACCCGTTTCTTCTAGATTTTCTAGTTTATTTGCATAGAGGTGTTTGTAGTATTCTCTGATGGTAGTTTGTATTTCTGTGGGATCAGTGATAATATCACCTTTATCATTTTTTATAGACTTAGACTCCCACACAATAATAATCGGAGACTTTAACACCCCACTGTCAACATTAGACAGATCAATGAGACAGAAAGTTAACAAAGATACCCAGGAATTGAGCTCAGCTCTGCACCAAGCAGACCTAATAGACATCTACAGAACTTTCCACCCCAAATCAACAGAATATATATTTTTTTCAGCACCACACCACACCTATTCCAAAATTGAACATATAGTTGGAAGTAAAGCACTCCTCAGCAACTGTGAAAGAACAGAAATTATAACAAATTGTCTCTCAGACCACAGTGCAATCAAACTAGAACTCAGGACTAAGAAACTCAATCAAAACCACTCAACTACATGGAAACTGAACAACCTGCTCCTGAATGTCTACTGGGTACATAACAAAATGAAGGCAGAAATAAAGATGTTCTTTGAAACCAATGAGAACAAAGACACAATATGCCAGAATCTCTGGTACACATTCAAAGCAGTGTGTAGAGGGAAATTTATAGCACTAAATGCCCATGAGAGAAAGCAGGAAAGATCCAAAATTGACACCCTAATGTCACAATTAAAAGAACTAGAAAAGCAAGAGCAAACACATTCAAAAGCTAGCAGAAGGCAAGAAATAACTAAAATCAGAGCAGAACTGAAGGAAATAGAGACACAAAAACCCTTCAAAAAATTAATGAATCCAGGAGCTGGTTTTTTGAAAAGATCAACAAAATCGATAGACCGCTAGCAAGACTAATGAAGAAAACAGAGAAGAATCAAATAGTTTTTCCATTTCTTTGTGCCCTCTGATTTCCTTGAGTAGTGGTTTGTAGTTCTCCTTGAAGAGGTCCTTAGCTGTATTCCTAGGTATTTTATTCTCTTTGTAGCAATTGTGAATGGGAGTTCGTTCATGATTTGGCTCTCTGCTTGCCTGTTGTCAGTGTATAGGAATGCTTGTGACTTTTGCGCATTGATTTTGTATCCTGAGACTGCTGAAGTTGCTTATAAGCTTGAGAAGCTATTGGGCTGAGATGATGGAGATTTCTGGATATAGGATCATGTCATCTGCAAACAAAGACAGTTTGTCTTTCTCTCTTCCTATTTGAATACCCTTAACTTTTTACTCTTGACTGATTGTATACTTTACATACTTAAAGCCATTTGTATTAAGTTTCATTCCATAAACGTTTAAAAATTATTTAGTAAAAAAAAAAACTCCTAGTGATAAGGCTATTTTTTTCACTCTCTAATTTTAATAATTAGACTCAAACACTATGTCTGTCCAATTTTCTTCATTCTGGTATTCTACATTAGGTAAACATTTAAAATTCTATTATCTGCTATATTATGCTTTATCAGGGACACTGGTTTGATTTTCTTTATTTTAGGAAGCACTGTCACCTCCTTCTTTAAAACATTTTTACTATTTTAAAATTTGCACTGTATATTTTTCTAAGCTGTGTGGTTAACAAAGCAGTACAAATTAATTTGTAAAGTACCAACGGGTTATATAAACATTTGAACACAGACATCGTCTTCTGATAGGGTCGATGACGTATGTGGTCGCCCTGATGCTATTTACACAATGCTCTAGAGAATTTTCTATAAAGGGCCTGCAGATAGTTAGCATTTCAGGCCTTGAGGTCCATACAGTCCCTGTTACCATGGTAGTAGGAATAAACCATAGACAATACATCAACAAATTGATGTAACTTTATTCCAATAAAACCTTAGTGACAAAATAGGTGGCAGGTCAGATTCATCCTTTAGGTCATAGTTTGACAACCCTTCTCTAGAGAACCAAATATGTGCTATGTTATGACTTTCTCAGTAGACTATATTATTTTAGTGACACATGCTTTTTTAACATTAAGTTCCGAGTTAGAAGAAGAACATAGGAGTTTATTCAACTTTATCTTCAAGGTACATGCTGTGGGTTACTTCATGAGTGTGAAACTATATTATTAAAAGTTATTTTGGATTCTTCAGAAGCTAAACCAATTCAGATGTGATTTAAGAAAAGTTTGCATACAAAGAATTCTATAGGGAATAGTAGTTAAGCCTTCACTTCACTATGAACCAGTGAAGTTTAGGTTTATATCCTTAAACATTAGTATGTTTAATCTTAAATATTAACAGGAACTACTTGTGATTTATTCAATTTAAGGAGTATGTAGAGAGGGCGAGACAACATGTAAATTTCAAAATTACTGAGATGATTTATTTAGGAATGTTTGTGAGGCTGATTATAAACATAATTTTAAAATAAAATTTTAGAAATGAAGAATATAAATGCCTGTCTGTTAAAAAGTAAATTATTATACTAAAATGTAAGAAGCAATGTCTCCTTTTCAAAAGTAAAGGCATGAGTGTGGTAAGATATAACATATGAAAAATGTGAAAATAAATGCAAAACCCACAGGTCACGGGAAAAGAGAAAAAGGTTAGTAAGTAGGGCAACAGAATATATTTACAAGTAGATAATAATGATATTAATATTTTGATTTTATTATAATTATTTGTGGAAACTGAAGTATTATTCAATGGTGACACAGAGTGTGTCACAGATCAATGCACCCATCAAAATACTCTTCTGCTTGAGAAAAAGGGACGGTAAGACCTCATTTCAAAAGGTTTTCTGTTAAAAATTTACTTCAGACACGGTTATTAGATTAGACTCTAAACTCAAGCTGTACACTGCCAGCTGTAATATACACAGAACAATTAAATTTGGGAGATTTTATGAGTCAACGGACAGAAAGTCTACACTATTAAAACTATTCTAGGGGATTGCTTTTCTGAACGCTAAGTAATTTAGTGTTTACCAAAAGAAGCATAGAAACTCATATTTTAATATGAATATTGAACCAATTTCTTCCTCTGATAAATTTCCATAATACAATCGGACATTTTGAAGGATCTAAAGAACTGTTAATTTTGGTAAGTGCGTATCTCCAGTTTGTCAATAGAACAAGATCTATGGACACTTAGATGCCAAATCTAAGTCTTCATGCCTAATCTTAAAATCAGAGTACAGCCGTTAGCATACATGAAAACAGAACTTTTAGAGAAACAGGAGCTAACTTTCCTTTGGCAATTTTCTGCAGATAATTAAATAAAGCAGAATTACCAATAGCTAGCAAGGATTGTTGACTTCAAATTTAGCTATATGTATTTTTTTTGTGATTGGTGATATTTTATTGCACCTTATTTTTAATTTTCAAAGTTCATAATAATTGAATATTTAGACAATTTCCTTGCAACTTTCAAAGGACTGCTGCTAATTTTATTAGCAGTTGTTCCAGAGATATATATGTCTGTTAAGGTTCCAACAGGTTATAGGAGGTATGTATTAAGTGTGTAGTAGAAAATATATCAATGATAGTATTTATCAGACGAATGGAGAGCAATTAAAATTAGAGGTCGGAAAAGACATACATGGAAATTAAGTAAAAGATAAAAGACTAGGAAAAGATGGAATTCCATCCTTCTTACCTGCTCCAACCTAGACTGTTTCACTGTCTTTACCCCCTCGTTCCTTCCTGTATCATCAAGTGTACAGACAGCAGAAATTATGCCAAGTAAGTGAAGCCCAGAGTTGAAGGATAGGGTGAAGAACAAAAAAAATAGATTTTATAAACTATATTGATGACCCCAATCCTCCTCACACATCTCTATTATTTGAAAGAAGTTAGATGATATGGTTTGGCTGTGTCCCCACCCAAATATCATCTTGACTTGTAGCTCCCATAATCTCCATGTGTCATGGGAAGGATCCAGTGGGAGGTAACTGAATCATGGAGGTGGGTTTTCCCATGCTGTTCTCATGATAGTGAATAAATCTCATGAGATCTGATGGTTTTATAAAGGGCAATCTCCCCTGCACATACACTCTTGCCTGCCGCCACGTAAGACATGCCTTTGCTCCTCCTTTGCCTTACCACAGGACTATGAGGCCTCCTCAGACATGTGGAACTGTGAGTTCATTAAACCTCTTTTTCTTTATAAATTACCCAGTCTCAGATATGCCTTTATTAGCAGTGTAAGAACAGATTAACACAATAGGAAACCAATTTCTCTACTAAACCTATGCTTACACATTTTCTTCATTCACTCAGCAAATATTTGTAGAGTATTTATCATGTGTCAGATATTGCTCTGGGCATCAGAGTTACAACTGAGAACAAAAGTAGACAAAGTTCTCTACCCCTAATGCAGGCTCTTAGAGAATAGATTGGATTAGGAAAAGGTGTATTTCATAAAACAAAATATTTTTCTAAAGATCGAGATTCTCACAAGCCAGAATACTAATATTTTATTAAATAGAAAAGCATGTCCCTTATTTACCTTGGAACTTAAGCCAACTTCTGTGGTAGAAATGCAAGTCACTTGTTTTGCAACTAAGTCAATGGTCCAGTTTATTTTTCTGACTGAAACTTTTTATTCTATTTCTATTCTTTCTCTGATACATTTCCATAAAACATTTAGACGTTTTGAAAATCTAAAGAACCCATAATTTTGGTAAGTCCGTATCTCCAATTTGTCAGTAGAATTGATTTAGTTCTTCTACACAGCATTGATATTAGAACGAAATCCAGATATTTCTGGTAAAATACATTTTTAAAAATGGTATTATGGGGGAATATTTTAATTGTCCTGTTACCATTTATAAAAAAATTGGTTTTATGGAAGAATAGGGGGCCTGAGTATTGTAAAGTATAATGGATAATAAATCTGTTTAGTGTATAATCTCAACTGGAGAAGATATATAGAAGCAAAATGGCAATAATTCTTGGTGCTAAGCTTTTCAAAACTAAGAAAAAAAAGCTAAATAGTTTAAATGTGAAATAAGCATTAATTTTAGGATTAGTTGATCAATGTTCAAATTCTAGCCTATGACTTTGAACAATTCACTTAAAGTTCTGATACTTAGTTTTTTCATTTGCACAATAATGAAAATGGTAATGCCTGTCCTTCCTTGAGGAGTTGATGTGAGGGAAGATCAAAAATATAATATTTGTGAATGCATTTTGTAAACCCTATGGTCCTACAGAAATTGGAAGAATCATTGTTTTTCATCTCTAATATATTTTTTGGGATAGTGTAATGAGGGCACTTTTCATTTATTCAAGAGTCATATAAAGACACATGCACACGTATGTTTATTGCAGCATTATTCACAATAGCAAAGACTTGGAACCAACCCAAATGTCCAACAATGATAGACTGGATTAAGAAAATGTGGCACATATACACCATGGAATACTACACAGCCATAAAAAATGATGAGTTCATGTCCTTTGTAGGGACATGGATGAAATTGGAAATCATCATTCTCAGTAAACTATCGCAAGAACAAAAAACCAAACACCGCATATTCTCACTCATAGGTGGGAACTGAACAATGAGATCACATGGACACAGGAAGGGGAATATCACACTTTGGGGACTGTTGTGGGGTGGTGGGAGGGGGGAGGGATAGCATCGGGAGATATACCTAATGCTAGATGATGAGCTAGTGGGTGCAGCGCACCAGCATGGCACATGTATACATATGTAACTAACCTGCACAATGTGCACATTTACCCTAAAACTTAAAGTATAATTTTAAAAAAAAAGAGTCATATATTAAATATATATTCCTTAAGTTTTATTCACTTGATCATTTCTTCTTTCTAATGTAACTCCTACTTTACAGCAAAAAAAAAAAAATAGCAAAATGAGATCAAATTAATGCTTTGCTTTCAGACCTCTTTACTGAGGTTTAACCCTTTTTTCTATTTTGCTTTAAGATGACATCCAGGATAAGAGTCCCTGACGTTCGGGAGGACATCTCCTAACTATATTAAGCAGTAACAGTTATTAAGATTCTCTTCACAGAATCTTTGGGATGCTTGGCTTAGCCTAAGAGTCAGCAAATTGCATTCTAATAGAATAATATTTAAGCTTCATTTCAAAATCCCAATTCCAAGAATTAAAATAAATACTCCGGAAATCCTCCATGCTCTTTCTTCTTTTCTTTTTTTCTCCTTCGTTTTTCTTTTTGTTAACAGCTATATCCCTCTTTAGAGTTCACATTTCATTTGCTTTTTCCTACTTTTAATTATGTTAGGTGAACAATAAAGGCCTTTCTTCTATAGACATAAGTTTAAAAATTAATGTAATTAAGCAGATTGCCTGTATAATATGAGAATCAATCATTTACTACAGAAAGCAACTAAACAAAAATCTTAGTAAAGCTGGAACATTTGCTGTGAACACTTGAGGAATCTGTCAATCCACAATTTAGCAAATTGTCCATTTTCCTGAAATTTGACTTTAATGAAATTTATGTTAGTGATTCATAATCTTGGTGGTTACAATATTTAGTTGCTCAAAACTTTTCTTAGCAATTTAATATCCTGTAAAAAGTGTAAGATAAATAAGTTACATGAGGAAAATCCTTAGGAATGTAATTTGTTTTCTATTTTATCTTTAAAAAAAATGGCAGGCCTTTATTTTTCCTGAGTGCGTCGTTAGCTCGACAAATTGTGAGGTACCTAAAGTTAGCGTTCAGTGAAGTCCTGACTCTCCTAGTGAAACTCATCTCTACCATATAGTATATTTTCTATTTTGTTCAGAGAATACAACTCCTTAAGCCAACTTTCTGAGTGTGAATCCTTGCTCTATGCCAACTGATTGAGTAATGTTATCCATCTGTAAAGTAGGATTAGTAATAATACCCACCTCTTACAGTTGCTGTAAAGCTTAAATGATTTAATAAGTGTAAAGCACTTAGGAAAAGCCTGACACAGGGTGTGTGTTATTTCCTAGTATTAGGGCCTTCAAACCCAGGCAACCAGAACTTAGCCTTCATGGCTTTCCACCCGGGCCTGCCTCCCCAGCAGCACCCATTCTCCATTCTCCTAAGTTATAATTTGCCTGCCCTCTGTTTCATTCTTCCAGAAGTTTGATAGGCAATGGCTAACATAATCAACTGATTGACCTGGGATTATAATGACTAATGAAAGCCAACTTGGAAAAAGTGAGGCATGTGAAACCAGAGAAACCCAGATTTAAATCTCAGGTTGCAACTTATGAGCTGTATGACTTGGGGCTAAATACTTAAACTCTGTTACCTATGGTGGCTTCATCTCAAAAATTAAGATGATAATAAGGTTGCTGTCACCAACTGGGGATCCTGTGGATTCCATCACAGAAGCTGAACCACTCTGAGGGATGTAACACATTGATCATGGTAATTAGATCTCGTGTGATTGTGGCAGCTGATTGGGCATCTGTCTAAGTGTACCCCTCCTGTATCTGAAGCTGTGCCTGAAGTCAGCAAGTGCTAACAGCAAGGAAGGGGAGATAGATAAGAAGTCTGGAGAACAAAGACAAACTGAGGACCATGAAGATGAGCTGGAACCCACAAGAACGTGCTGGAGCCTGCTTCTGTCTTTCATTGGCACCTGCATCTGAGTCTCACTGCCTCTTGGCCTCCAACGTTGAAGAAATTGGTGACACTGCCATGGAGCTGTATATGAAATGGCTCAAATCTGGAGAAACTGAAGAAGTATCCAGTGGGAGCTGCAGGAGCTGTTGATCCATGCCAAGGAGGTGAGCTAGCAGATGTAGGACACGATGTGTGAGGACACAGCACCTGACCCTCTACCAACCTTCCCAGCATACATATGGCTGCTGCATCATTTCTGCCTTCCAAACCTTGCACAAATTATGCTCTTGGCCTATCAGAATCCAAAACCATTCAGGGAAAGGAATTCTTAAAACATCAATCCAGTTTAGCTAAATTGACATTCTATGAAACCACCACACATATCTACAGATATCAAAACCTTATACCCTTTATCTTAGGTGAGCAAGAAATTAGAGTGCCTTCATGTTCTATAACTGACTTCTTCCTGCTCCTGAGCCCCACTTGCATAGTGCTGAAAGAAGGAAGGACATAAGCTTAACAGTTAAATGCATATTCCTTGGTTTAAACAGTTTTTGGGGATAAAATCAATCTCTTTCATGTAAATAATTAGTGTTTAAGTATTTCTTCAACAACCCAGGACTTGTTGCCTTCACCTTTTCTTGTAGCTAAGATGACATCTGGCTATGACATCAGGTTTGTAAGATTGTGTGAAGATTGAGTATGTTATGGCCTCATATGCATAGATATATCCTGCTGGTTTCTGCCACTGAAGTCTGAGTTCATGGAAACTTGTGGCCTAGTTTTAGCATAGTTAAGGCCTGGTAGAAGGATCAACTCATGTTGGTTCTCCCAGGACTTTCCTGGCTTTGAAAGAGAAAGTCTCATACTCTCCTGATGACCTCAGTCTCACGCAGACCTGACCAAGTGGCCAACATAGGTCTTAATGTTCCTCCCCTTTCTGACTTGGCCCGGGCTCAGTTCTTGTCGGTGCTACCAATATCTAAACCTTTTCTTCTTGCTCCAACCAATCCAATGTTTGGTGTGTCCTGAAGTCTCTATTTCAGGGTTACCTTATCCCTCCTCCATGGCAACCACTACTATCTCTCTACTCATCTAATTTCCTAAAACCTCTTACTTGGAGGACTTAACAACTTCTGAATTCACTTTATATGGCACAAAAGCAGAGGGAAAATAGGGAGATAGGGTTGCTATTTCAAGCCCTGAGCATTTCCAAGGTTTGAAAGTGTGAGGATGGAGGTAAAGAATACACTTTTCTAAGAATGTTCACATCGAGTTTAACCACAGAAGGGATATAGGAAGGAAAGAGGGAAATGGTACATGTGTTTGACCATTTCAGCTTCTTCTTTTCTCTTTTCTTTTCTGACATCGAGTGGGTACTGTACTTGTGTCATATTCTGAGTCCCCTCTACCTATGGCTTATGGTAAATCTTCAGGTAAAATACACATATCAGGGTTGCTCCTGATATGTATATTTTGAAAATTAAAAAAAATAGTATTTCTTTTTTCTGTAAAACCTAGCTTTCAAGAATAATGCCTTCTTATGGACACAGGAAAGTTAACTTTGAATTTGTTCTCAGTAGAATCTGCTCTCTCTCTTTTCCTTGCATGATAAACCACATGGTATATTATAAATGGGGAAAGTCAGATTTAAATTGAGATAGAAAATTATTTAAATTTTTGCAAAATATTACGCCTGTTTGCAATTATGTCTTTCTGCTCCTCTTTCCGTCTCCCCAGGATGTTTATAGGAGAGTCCTGTTGTTTGTGCTCTAATTTAAAAAAATAATAAAGACAAATGAATCATAATTCTTGAATTACTTGTCTGGTAGGGAACACATTTTGAGAAGGAAGTTATTTATAATAATGTTTTTCAAATCAGAAAACATGCAAAAATGCACACTTTACAAATATATGACTCAACCATCTTAAAAATGTTTTACTGACTCAAGGCCAGAGTCGGACATCATCAAAAATAAGAGTTCAGGGTAAACTATTAGAATGAGAAAAAAAGTGTATTTTAGCAATCTGACTTATATGTCATTTTTCCCATTGTAAATAGTGTTCACATTTTGTAATAATTCATTAATAATTAATACATAAAAAGAACAATTATAGGCACTTTACATATATATTGACTCATCTAATATTCCTCCCATAACCCCCTGTGCTACAGATGAACAAACTAAGGCGCGGGGAAGTGCAATGACCTGCCCAAGGACACGCTGTTAGAGACAGCAGAACCATGAGTTGGACATCAGTGGTATAGTGAGTTGAATGGTGACTGGAGGCCCACATCCTAGCCCCTGGAACCTGTGACTGTGATCTTACTCGGAAAAACAGTCTTTCTGAGGTAAATTAAGGATCGTGAGAGGTATCATCTAGATTATCTGGGTGGGCTCTGATTTCAATGATAAGTGTACTTTCAAGAGACAAAAGAAAGAAGAGTCAGAGAGGAGGAGGAGGAAGCAATGTGACCTTGGAGGCAGAGAATGGAAAGATACAGCCACAAGCCTAAGAATGCCTGAAGTTACCAGAAACAAGAAGAGGCAAGGAAGGAATCTCCTCTAAAGCCTCCAGAGCAAGCATGGCCCTGCTAACACTTTGATTTTGACTTTTGGTCTCCAGGACTATGAGAGAATATGTTTCTGTTGTAAGTCACTCAGTTTGTGGTCATTTGCTGGGGCAACACTAGGAAAATCTATAGGTGGCCCAGCTCCATAACCTGTGTTCTCAATCCTGAAGCTATACTGTCTCTCAAAGGAGCAGATAATCCTTAACGTTTGAAATTCATGCTACCCTTTCCCAGGATGTTTGCTTCACCATCCTCCAAAGCTACTATTTCAAACATTCTCTCTCTTAAAATTAGTACATCTTTTTTCTCTTCTCCTTAGTCTTATTTGATGAAATTGCTCCATATTTTATTTATAAACAAACCCCTTTGATTGTTCAATTTCCAAACTTACCAAATTGGCTCTCCACATTTTTGAATTTTTTCTTCTTATGTAGTTGAAGTATTCTCTGCTTCTATCCAAAGAAACACTTACACAGCTCTATATCTTCTTATTTGCTGTCTCAAATTATTTACTCTGGTATTCATTATCTATTGCTGTGTAACAAATTACCCCAGAACTTAGCATCTTGAAATAACAGATATTTATTAGCAAAGTTTTTGTGCATCAGATATCTGGAAATGTCCCACCTGTGTCCCCTGCTTCAGAGTCTTTCACAAAGCTGCAATCAAGGTGTCAGCCAGCATTGGAGTCTCATCTGAAGACTCAACTGGGGAAGTATATGTTTCTAATTTCACTTATGTGGCTGTTGACACAAATCAGTTTTTATACTTGTGTTGACTGTGAGACTCAGTTATTTGCTGGCTGTTATACAGAACCCATCATCAGATGCTTGCCACATGGGACTTCCCAATATGGCAGCTTGTTTTATCAAAGCTGAAGAGAGTCTGAAAGCAAGACAGTAGTCATAGTCTTATGTAACCTAATCATGTGAGTGACAGCCTATAATCTCTACCACATTCCATTAGAAGCAATTTGCTAGGCTAGCCAACACTCGGGGAAAGGGATGAATACTCAAGGACTATGGATCACTGGGGCCATATTAGAATCCACCTGTGACAATTCTCCAATGCCTTCTTTCTCCTACATAATCACATTCTCCATCTCTAATAGAACACACTAGTCAGTATACAAACATGCTTTAGATTATCTCATTTTACAAAAATCCTGTGACTCCATTCTTTCAGCTAGTACCCACTTTTTTATTTTTTATTTTTATTTTTATTTTCAGACAGTTTTGCTCTTGTTGCCCAGGCTGGAGTGCAAAGGTGTGATCTCGGCTCACTGCAACCTCTGCCTCCTAGGTTCAAGTGATTCTCCTGCCTCAGCCTCCCGAGTAGCTGGGATTACAGGCGCCTGCCACCACACCCAGCTAATTTTTGTATTTTTAGTAGAGATGGGGTTTCATCATGTTGGTCAGGCTAGTCTAGAACTCCTGACCTTCCTGACCTCAGGTGATCCACCTGCCTCGGCCTCCCAAAGTGCTGGGATTACAGGCGTGAGCCACTGCACCCAGCCTTATTATTTTTTAATTTTGTGGTTATCACTTTATGTATCTTGTTTATGAAATTTTATCCTCTTCTGGTAATAAAAAAAAGTTCTTCTATGCTGTTTTTCTAAGACTTTGTTGTTTTTTGTTTTATACATAGATATGCATACCTTTCATTTAGAACACTTTCATACTTAAAATTTTGTGTATGGTATAAAGCAGAGATTATTATATTTTTTAATATTGTTATCAAATTGACCCAGAGTGATCTAATTTTTTAAAAAGTATCCACTCACATTGTACTGTAGACTAAACTTTGTCATTAACATGTGATTCAGTGTAGGTTAATTAGATTCCTGTATATTGTGTAGTCTAAATAAAACTGTGAAAAACAATTAACCTTATAAGACTGATTTTACATCTTCATGGAAGGTTATATTTTCCCACAATCTTGAAATGTGAAATTAAGTAAATCCCACTGATGAACACACAGACCACAGACACACAGTAAACGGATAGTCCACTCATGTATAGACACACATAGGTATCAAGACATCTACACTGTCAATAATAAATTAATTTGATTAATTCATTAGACAAATAGCATTCCTTTGCTGCTTCTTTATGTAACCTATTTTTGACTTCATAAAGTTAAATTTTTGTTTATTTCTCAGTTATTGGAATTTTTTGTGTAGATGCGCTTCACTAATTTTTCTGTTGGTATTTCAATGATTTTCTTAGAGATTTATAACATGCATGTTTATTACTCACTTTTTCACTTTGTTGTTAATTTGCAGAAGTTTTAAATTTAATGCAGGCAAACCTACTGACATTTTTCTCTATTTTCGTCAGATAGATTTTTAGAATTTTGATATGTTTTTATTATATAGAACTTATGTAGGCAAATGGAAATTGGTTAAAACTTAAATGGATTTTGTTTCCAGTATACTATGTAGGTAATTTTCCTAACACCATTTACTGAATAACCTGTTCCTTTCCCAATTTTCGTGCTGGATTGGGACTAGATAATTTGAGAAGGCTTGGCTCAGTGTTAACTCTTGCAGTATTTGTGTGGAAGTCACCTATCTTCCCTGTCAATTTCCTCCCTCCATTCCTTCTCATTCACCCTAGGTTCTGTCCTGGATCTTGTAAGCTAGGGTATCTTCACAGTCCAAAGAGATGCTGTGTGTGTCTGTATTCTGTCTTTCCTCTTAGGTTCTCTTAATGTTTGATATACGCTTTATCTTAGCTAAACTATCTCATAGCAGAAAAATTAACTTAGAAAAATATAACATATATTATCTTTGTGCGCCAGTGCACAGTATGTTCACAAAACATATACTACCCTTTTATTATTATTTTCTCTTCCTGAAGAACAGGATTGAAAAATAGCTATAGAAACTATTCTGTTATAGCAAATGCTCAGCAGACCTAGTAAAGGACCAAAGCAGGTAAAAAGGTAATTTGCTTTTCCTGCTTTTACTTTCAATATGGCTTAAATCAATCAATTTAAAATCAAAATATCTCTGTAATAAGTATATAGACATTATAAATAGGCACAATTTATGCAGCCATCTTCAGGAAATATGCTCTGGTGATATACAGGTATGCAAATTGAATTACACTTAGTATGACAAGATTAAAAGAGAAGCTGTTAAATGGATATGCATGAAGTAGGACCTGCCTGTAATTTTCTCTTTCCTTTTCCTTCATTCCTACCCTGTCCCTTTCTCTCACTGTTTTTTTCTTTTTTGTTTTTACTGAGCCTTAGAAATAGGAAATTGAATTAATCATAATTCTCAATTCATGATACACCGTCATTATTAGTCTATGCAAGTCACTCTATTGCTTTATTTTTTGCTTTTATTTCCACTCTTCACTGCTATTACCTTCTTTATATAGTCACCTACTCCACTTAAATTACTATGTATCCTTGAAAAACGTGCATTGTTGTTTTATGAATGTCTCTGTTTTAAATTTATAAACATGGCATTCTGCTACAGATGTGCTTATTGTTATTTTTAACTCAACATTGTGGCTATAGACTCAGCTGTATGTAGATCATTGCTCTTGACCACTGCACAGCCCAGAGGCTAATCTACCACACTTTTTTTTTTCTCTTCTACTGGAGACGAACACCTAGGTTTCTCATAATTCCCTGGTGCCAAGACAAAGCTGCAAAGAACCTCCAGATCAACCTTTGGAAGAGGCTCCCAGGGGAGAGTTGCCGGGTCATAGGGCTGCACATTCTTGATGTCACTAAGTGCTGCCAGATTGTTCTCCAGATTTGTGGGCTTATATTTCTTAAGTATTTTGGCAGAATTCACATTAAGTTGAAATTTTGATTTTGTGCCAACATTCAGGGGCATGTTAGAGTAACTTTATAACTGTGTGAAAAATTAAAGAAAAATATCTAATGTTTAAAGTGCTTTTATATGCAATTCTTTTTAGATTATTTAACTGAAAAACAGCATTTCTGAGCAATAGTGCATACAGTATGTAGTTTTATTCATATCTATTAATGTGGGTCAGATTTTAGGAAAATACTTTAAGTAAAATTCTACTCTCTATATCATTGGAATAAAGGTTTATATATTGTATAGCATGATTAATAGAATAATCAGACATTTTATTATGTATATTTTACATTTACAAATGCTGTACCATGAATTATGTTTGCCCTAGAGAAGACCTGCCATTTACTAAACACTTCCTATGTGTCCAAGAAATAAGCACTATTTTATTATTCTTCACATAATATATGTGTAGTAGTCATTATTTTACTCATTCTACAGGTAAAGAAATTAGCATTCAGAAAGGTTAAGTCATTTCCCACAAAAATTGTACAGCCTGTACATATAGAAACTAGAATTCAATTCAAGGACTACATTAACTACAAAGCCTGGGTCTTTCGTCATTAACTTCAAAACAAAATGGTGTATGGCTATAAGAAAGACAGCATGCCTTAGTGGTTAACAGCAAAGTCTTATAAGCCAGATGTCCAAGTATAAATTCCAGTTCTGCCACTAAGAACTCTGAAACCTTAGCATGTCACTCAAACTCTGTATCTTACCTTCCTCATCTATAAGACAAAGATAGTGACAGTAATAATATAATAATAACTCCTTTCTCAGGTTGTTTTGTCTCCTAAATGACTAAAACATATTTAAAGCTTAGGACTGTTTGTGGGATATTTCCAGCCAGTTAATGTTTCCTATTATTTTTCCAAAGAGGACTATTCTTTTGTTCAGATATTCACTCCTCTTCCTCAAAGCCCTGTTCACCCAAGGGAAGCTGGACTCATCCCCAACTCCAGGTGTGGTCCTGGTTAGTCTGAGTCAATCAGCATAATTCTATGCTCCTTAGTGGTGAGTAGTTCTGGAATGGCTTTAATAAGCAATTATGGCCAATGAAAATCAAGAAGATTTTTGCTGGGATTTTTCTAGAAAGGCCCTTTGCTTGCTTTTCTAGGAAGAACTACCTCCCTGACTGTTTGACATGCATGAGGAAACACAGAACCCTGACAATGACTGGCACCCATCCTTTAGCTATGAAGAAAACCAGCCTTAGAAGCCAGCCAGGATCATAGAAGTTAAGAACCTGAGTCATTGAAGACATTATTCCACCTGCAAACACAAAGCCTGCTCTACCTCTAGACTCCAAACTATTGGTAATGCCAATAGGAGTTCAATTTTTGGTGCCGTAGGTGAAAAGTTGTGTTCATAGAAACTGACCATGAATAAATGTTATTTTTCCTAGCTGTTAGAATTTAGAGATTAGGAGAATGAACTACTTCAACTTGAGGGGGAATTCAGGTGTCAGAGGAAATCCTGCTGAATGTCGAAATGATAAAGACTAAAGATTTTCTAGGAAAGTTTGAACATATGACAAATATTCTTGGAAACAGAAGAGGGATTACATAAAAGGGCATTGTAAAAGAAGCAAAACATTGGATTAAAAAGATAAACAACTATGTCAAATATTTTTAAAAAGAAAAGAAAGACACACAGTCAGAAAGAGTGGGGATGACAACCAATCCAAAGGGCATAAAATGTGGTGGAGGATTATGAATCGGATAGGAGAAAGGAACATGGAGCTAGAAAGTGGGCGAGGAGTACATGAGTGGAATTGATCAGCCTCTTTATTCCAGTCAGAAATTTGGTGTGCAGTTGTGGGATAACTTTGTAAATGAATACTTTAAGCATAATCTTAACTGTGAATCAAAATTGCACATAAATTTATATTTATTAAACATTAAACAAACATTCACTGATGATTATATTGTGCATACAAACATGCATAGAAATTGGCTCTCCATAAAAATATATAATTTTAGCATTGGTAATACCAAATAAAGATAATGCTATCACAAAACTGGTGAACAAGATTTCCAGCATATATGAAATATTGTTTTGGGGGCTTCAAAAATCCAGATGGAAGAGTGGTTTCCCTAGCTCTTCTTCAAAATTCCATTGAATGACACACTCTTCTCTCTAGGCTTGTAACGAGGAATGCATATCTACTTAATAGATGTGGTAAGACACAAACAAAATAAAGACTCATTCTTTTCTTTTCGAGACAACACAAGTTGTGATTTGAACCAAGACAACCTGGCTTCAGAGTTTATAGTGATTCTCATTCTAGTGATAAGTATCAAAATTGTTATAAAGGTAATAAAAACATTATTGTTCTAAGTTTCACTTATTGAAATTTATTCCAGCTCTTTGTCTGACATGAAAACAAAAATATAAAATAATTCTAATTGCAATATTGTTTATAATGTGCAAACACTAAAATCAAACTAAATCCATTAATAATCGATTCAGTTTTATAAAGATGATGCATCTATACAATGAATAACTAGAAAATAATTTAAATATATATTGTTGTTGATTTCATAACCTGGAAAAGCATTGAATTTATATGGTGAGGTGAAGAAAGACAAACTACAAAACTGGGTAGATTGGACTCCATTTGTTGAAAAATTCTACAGTAGGGCTGTATATATTGAAGAATATTTCTAGAAAATTATACAACAAATATTAATGGTTGTTATCTCTCAATGGTGGATTATTTTCCACAATGAGCACGTCAATTTTATAATCAGAGAAAATATAATAAAGCAGTTACACTTCAAAAAAATGAGAGAGAGAAAGAAAGGAAGAAGAGAAAACTAACCAAGTTGGAGAATAAATAATGACTACCAAATCCACCTTGTATTGCTGAGAATTTCTTCATAGATAAGGGGTACATTTTGTAGCAGTTATTATTTTAGTAGATTTACATCTAAATTTTATTTATTGCAATGACAACATTCTTAGTGCAAGTTATTTCTGAAAAAAAATTTTTTTTTTTTTTTTGAGACAGGGTCTTCCTCTGTTGCCCAGGCTGGAGTGCAGTGGCACGATCATGGCTCACTGCAACCTCTGCCTCCTGGGCTCAGGTGATACTCCTGCCTCATTCTCCCAAGTTGCTGGTTGCTGGGACTATGGGTTTGCACTACCACACCAGGCTATTATTTATTTATTTGTAGAAATGGGGTTTCACCATGGTGCCCAGGCTGGTTTAAACTCCTGGGCTCAAGCAATCCGCCCGCCTCGGCCTCCCAAAGTACTGAGATTACAGGTGTAAGCCACCATGGCCAGCCTACTGAAAATACTAAATTCTTATCATTTGAATAATGCAATACTTTTAACTATCTTTTAAATGTAAAACTTAACAGTCAATACTACTTATCAACTGTTAAAAAGAAAGCTTCTTGATTTTTTATTGTGTCATGACTAATGGATCATTTTCTAGTTTGACTCTTCTTCCATCTCCTGTGAGTTTGGATTGACTTTAAAGAAGTTATAATGCTTCAAACTGATTGGAGGTAAGAACTAGGGAACAGAGTAATTAGATTTACAACTCCTGGTAACTGTGATTTTTAATTACATAACAGTTATTGAAAACATGAAAATCTATATTAGACATTTTCTTAATTATGGCAAACAGCATACATTTGAATGAAGTACTTTCTCTTTAACATAAAATTATACAGAGAAATTACATTAAACTAAAACAGAGAAACATATTTTTAAACAGTCATTACAAATAGCAAAATACGAGAATTTTTTCTAGAAATTCTCTAAGCCTTCCCATTTACACAAGTTTAACTATATTTTGAGAGACTCTAGTGCACTCAATACTCTAAGTGCTACCTTGCTTTTGGGTTGAGAGTGGGAGGACATATGGCTCTTCACAGGAAGTGATGGGTATTTGCTTTACATTAATAAATAATAGGATACTCTGAGTTCTACTGTAACATATAATCATTTTATACTAATTGTAAATGGTAATTGAAGCATTCAAAACATAGTATAGACATTTTATTTATTCTTTCTTTTTTTTGTTACCATCTTTTTTTTTATTATACTTTAAGTTTCAGGGTATATGTGCACAAAGTGCAGGTTTGTTACATATGTATACATGTGCCATGTTGGTGTGCTGCACCCATTAACTCTTCATTAAATGTTAGGTATATCTCCTAATGTTATCCCTCCCCACTCCCCCACCCCACAACAGGCCCTAGTGTGTGATGTTCCCCTTCCTGTGTCCATGTGTTCTCATTGTTCAATTCCCACCTATGAGTGAGAATATGCGGTGTTTGGTTTTTTGTCCTTGGGATAGTTTGCTGAGAATGATGGATTCCAGCTTCATCCATGTCCCTACAAAGGACATGAACTCATCCTTTTTTATGGCTACATAGTATTCCATGGTGGATATGTGCCACATTTTCTTAATCCAGTCTATCATTGTTGGACATTTGGGTTGGTTCCAAGTCTTTGCTATTGTGAATAGTGCTGCAATAAACATACGTGTGCATGTGTCTTTATAGCAGCATGATTTATACTCCTTTGGGTATATACCCAGTAATGGGATGGCTGGGTCAAATGGTATTTCTAGTTCTAGATCCCTGAGGAATTGCCACACTGACTTCCACAATGGTTGAACTAGTTTACAGTCCCACCAACAGTGTAAAAGTGTTCCTATTTCTCCACATCCTCTCCAGCACCTGTTGTTTCTTGACTTTTTAATGATCACCATTCTAACTGGTGTGAGATGGTATGTCGTTGTGGTTTTGATTTGCATTTCTCTGATGGCCAGTGATGATGAGCATTTGTTCATGTGTCTTTTGTCTGCATAAGTGTCTTCTTTTGAGAA
This sequence comes from Homo sapiens, assembly GCF_000001405.40. Taxonomy (NCBI): domain Eukaryota; kingdom Metazoa; phylum Chordata; class Mammalia; order Primates; family Hominidae; genus Homo; species Homo sapiens. The sequence continues at coordinate 41,179,751 of NC_000012.12, forward strand.
GTATCTGTTCATATTCTTTGCCCACTTGTTGATGGGGTTGTTTGTTTTTTTCTTGTAAATTTGTTTGAGTTCATTGTAGATTCTGGATATTAGCCCTTTGTCTGATGAGCAGGTTGCAAAAATTTTCTCCCATTCTGTAGGTTGCCTGTTCACTCTGATGGTAGTTTCTTTTGCTGTGCAGAAGCTCTTTAGTTTAATTAGATCCCATTTGTCAATTTTTGCTTTTGTTGCCATTGCTTTTTGTGTTTTAGACATGAAGTCCTTGCCCATGCCTATGTCCTGAATGGTATTGCCTAGAGTTTCTTCTAGGGTTTTTATGGTTTTAAGTCTAACATATAAGTCTTTAATCCATCTTGAATTAATTTTTGTATAAGGTGTAAGGAAGGGATCCAGTTTCAGCTTTCTACGTATGGCTAGCCAGTTTTGCCAGCACCATTTATTAAATCGGGAATCCTTTCCCCATTGCTTGTTTTTCTCAGGTTTGTCAAAGATCAGATAGTTGTAGATATGTGGCATTATTTCTGAGGGCTCTGTTCTGTTCCATTGGTCTATATCTCTGTTTTGGTACCAGTACCATGCTGTTTTGGTTACTGTAGCCTTGTAGTATAGTTTGAAGTCAGGTAGTGTGATGCCTCCAGCTTTGTTCTTTTGGCTTAGGATTGACTTGGCAATGCGGGCCCTTTTTTGGTTCCATATGAACTTTAAAGTAGTTTTTTCCAATTCTGTGAAGAAAGTCATTGGTAGTTTGATGGAGATGGCATTGAATCTATAAATTACCTTGGACAGTATGGCCTTTTTCACGATATTGATTCTTCCTACCCATGAGCATGGAATATTCTTCCATTTGTTTGTATCCTCTTTTATTTCATTGAGCGGTGGTTTGTAGTTCTCCTTGAAGAGGTCCTTCACATCCCTTGTAAGTTGAATTCCTAGGTATTTTATTGTCTTTGAGGCAATTGTGAATGGGAGTTCACTCATGATTTGGCTCTCTGTCTGTTATTGGTGTATAAGAATGCTTGTGATTTCTGCACATAGATTTTGTATTCTGAGACTTTGCTGAAGTTGCCTATCAGCTTAAGGAGATTTTGGACTGAGACAATGGGGTTTTCTAGATATACAGTCATGTCATCTGCAAACAGGGACAATTTGAAATCCTCTTTTCCTAATTAAATACCCTTTATTTCCTTCTCCTGCCTGATTGCCCTGGCCAGAACTTCCAACACTATGTTGAATAGGAGTGGTGAGAGAGGGTATCCCTGTCTTGTGCCAGTTTTCAAAGGAATGCTTCCAGTTTTTGCCCATTCAGTATGATATTGGCTGTGGGTTTGTCATAGATAGCTCTTATTATTTTGAAATACGTCCCATCAATACCTAATTTATTGAGAGTTTTTAGCATGAAGGGTTGTTGAATTTTGTCAAAGGCCTTTTCTGCATCTATTGAGATAATCATGTGGTTTTTGTCTTTGGTTCTGTTTATATGCTGGATTACATTTATTGATTTGCATATATTGAACCAGCCTTGCATCCCAGGGATGAAGCCCACTTGATCATGGTGGATAAGCTTTTTGATGTGCTGCTGGATTCGGTTTGCCAGTATTTCATTGAGGATTTTTGCATCAATGTTCATCAGGGATATTGGTCTAAAATTCTCTTTTTTGTTTGTGTCTCTGCCCGGCTTTGGTATCAGGATGATGCTGGCCTCATAAAATGAATTAGGGAGGATTCCCTCTTTTTCTATTGATTGGAATAGTTTCAGAAGGAATGGTACCAGCTCCTCCTTGTACCTCTGGTAGAATTCGGCTGTGAATCCATCTGGTCCTGGACTTTTTTTGGTTGGTAAGCTATTAATTATTGCCTTAATTTCAGAGCCTGTTACTGGTCTATTCAGAGATTCAACTTCTTCCTGGTTAGTCTTTGGAGGGTGTATGTGTCGAGGAATTTATCCATTTCTTCTAGATTTTCTAGTTTATTTGCATAGAGGTGTTTATGGTATTCTCTGATGGTAGCTTGTATTTCTGTGGGATTGGTGGTGATATCCCTTTTTTCATTTTTTTTTTTTGAGTCTATTTGATTCTTCATTGTTTTCTTCTTTATTAGTCTTGCTAGTGGTCTATGAATTTTGTTGATCTTTTCAAAAAACCAGCTCCTGGATTCATTGATTTTTTGAAGGGTTTTTGTATCTCTATTTCCTTCAGTTCTGCTCTGATTTTAGTTATTTCTTGCCTTCTGGTAGCTTTTGAATGTGTTTGCTCTTGCTTCTCTAGTTCTTTTAATTGTGATGTTAGGGTGTCAATTTTAGATCTTTCCTGCTTTCTCTTGTGGGCATTTAGTGCTATAAATTTCCCTCTACACATGCTTTGAATGTGTCCCAGAGATTCTGGTATGTTGTGTCTTTGTTCTCGTTGGTTTCAAAGAACATCTTTATTTCTACCTTCATTTCGTTATGTACCCCATAGTCATTCAGGAGCAGGTTGTTCAGTTTCCATGTAGTTGAGCAGTTTTGAGTGAGTTTCTTGATCCTGATCAATGAGACAGAAGGTTAGCAAGGATATCCAGGAACTGAACTCAGCTCTGCACCAAGCGGACCTAATAGACATCTACAGAACTCTCCACCCCAAATCAACAGAATATACATTCTTTTCAGCACCACACCACACCTATTCCAAAGTTGACCTCATAGTTGGAAGTAAAGCTTTCCTCAGCAAATGTAAAAGAACAGAAATTATAACAAGCTGTCCCTCAGACCACAGTTTATTTATTCTTTCAAGATTTCCGGGAGGTAGGATGATACAGGTGTCAATGATTTCATTTTATAGATGAGATTATACTGAAATTAAATAATTTATGTCAAATCTATGGCATGGCAGAACAAGTCATGGCAAAAGCATCTCTTTGTTTCTTAGACATCGTTCTAGTCAACAGAGTTTCCATGTGGAATTTCCAGTATCCATTATTTTAAAAAATTATATTTTCATGTAATAAATTATTAATATATAATATTAATTATGTCTAGATTTCCTTTGAGTTTGGGATAAACGAGCAAACAAGTGGCTTCAGAAGCCCAAAGAAATACTGATGGTAAATGAGATCAGTGATATTTTTCCTGGTTTTGTCTTCAAACCTTAGTTACATTGGTTTTAGATTGTGGTTTCCACATCACTGTAATAAAAAGTAAAAAATGACAATTGACAAAATAATTTCTTTTCTTCCACTAAGCAAGAAGCTGACTTAATGAGCTCACATCTCAAAATTCTGTGAAAATTGCTGTAATTTTGCAGAAACATCCAGAAAAATATTACTATAGAAAATTTTTATTGAACGAAGCACAAAGTAAGAGTTTGACCGAAATATATAGTGATTGATTTATTAAGACAAAACTTAAAGAACATACGCAATTGGTTTATTACATAGAAAACTTTCAGCTATTTAAGACCAGTTATGTGGAACAAAATGGTCTAAAATAGCCATATTGGTTATTGGTATTGCATAGAACAGTTAAACGATATTCTCATTTACATAAACTATTCAAAGGCCTCTAATAAACATGACCTTGGAACTTCCCTCATCAGAGGAAGCAAAACAAAAAGAGAGCTTTTAAACGATGGAATCAAATGAATGCAATTACAGAGTCCATTCACATATTTCATTCGATAGCATATTTTATTCTAAAATAACCCCATGGCAAGTGTAAGAAAAACAAGCCAATACAATATAGCGTTTAAGAGTCTGAGTTCTTTAGTGAGGCTGATCTTAGTTTAAGCCTAGGATCTGCCACTTTTGATTTGTGTGAACTTGGTCAAGTTATGGGAACAATAAAAGTACCCACTCAAAATCGTCATTGGAAGATTTGAATGAGATTGTGTATGTAGGGAATGTAGTGCTGTGGCTGTCACATAGTAAGAGTTATTATCTATTAGCTTGTGGTTGTTTTTTATACCATCTCTCTTTGTCAGTGACTATGACCCACAAGATATAACACAAAATTAAAGTTAACTAAATGCAGAATTTAATCTATTTTTCTCTATAAACCATCTCTCACAATAGTCCCTTCTTAAAAAGAATAATAGTACCCTTCCTAATGTCTGGGTGACTTTGGAAGAATCAGTCTGTAATCTAATTTTAAGTTGCCACAATTTTTAATTTAATACCTCACTTTAATTTGATTTTCTTCAAATTCCTCATTCTGCTGTGTCTGATAATTCATTCCTGCAGAGACTGCACAATTATTGTAAATTATTTACTCAATTTTGGTGTACATAATTGTTTTATTCATATTACTTTATTCCCCTTAAAAATGGCATTCTGTACTGTCATAATACCCCTTCCAACTACATTTTGCCAAAGACAGCAGGAAAGCAAGATAATAGCAAATAACTCCTAATGGATTATGTGTCAACAGACAGGAATTATAAGAATTGATACTGCTCTGTGTTCTCAGGATTTAACTGATTATGTATAATTTGGAGTGAAACATATCCAAAATGTATCACTTCTCTAACATAATATATTATCAGCCTACTTTTGTAAAATAAAAAAAATCTGCCTCATTTTTAATAAACTTTCAACTAACTCAACTTCAAAGTATCTTTTATTGTTCTTATCAAGTTTGGAATTTTTCTGTACTGTCAAAGTGACCTCGTTATTATCTCATGCATTACAAACATAGTCATTTATGCTACTAGGTGCAAATCTGATCCCACATTATGATGGAAAAATTATCAAGATAAGAACAAAGTCCATTAACTTCAACACAAATGAATGTATTCCACAGGAAATATTTTGACCTAAAGTGGCTAAGTACTTTTGCCTCAGCTACCAGAGTAATTTAGTATAGTTACAGATTACATTTAGAGCACTTGGGATAATTATAGAAATAGTACTAATTTATGATAAATGACCAGGGAATTGAGAAAAGAAAAACATAGATGATGAAATTTTCTTTATGAGAAAGTTTATATAATAGAGAATTGAAAAACTATTGTTATATATAAAGTACTAACTTATGCTATATGAACACATATAAAATAAATGTTTAAGGTCCTATTCTTTGAAAAATTCCCCCAACCTTTCCAACTTCATGGCCCTTAATTAAATAAATAAAACATGAAAAAGAGTCACAAATGAGTTGGTTTTGACAAAGCATTATCTGTGCATGAGGTGAAAAAAATCTTTCTCTTTCACATTTTACCTCTCCATTCATCATTTTTGAGTCTTAGAATACAGTATTTTATTTTGGGACTTTTAGCATTTGACTCAACAACCAATACTCCTAGATTCATTCTTGGAAGTAGGCATGACTCAGAGCTGGGATGGAACCCTGCCTCTTCTCACTGGAAACACCCAAGGCACATCCCAGTTTCATTACTGCACTAGGAATTGGCCCAAATAATTTAGCAACTTAATGTTTTAATCTCTTTTCATGAATATATGACTGCTGATAGCAGATGAAAGCAAAAACTAGTTACTAAGCTGAAAATACTCAACCAACTACTGATTGCTTAAAGATTTTATTTTATTTATTTATTTTTTCCTTGAGGTGGAGTTTCACTCTTGTTGCCCAGGCTGGAGTGCAATGATGTGATCTCGGCTCACTGCAACCTCCGCCTCCCAGGTTCAAGCGATTCTCCTGCCTCAGCCTCCTGAGTAGCTGGGATTACAGGCACCTGCCACCATGCCTGGCTAATTATTTTTAATAAATTTTTAGTAGAGATGGGGTTTCACCAAGTTGGCCAGGCTGGTTTCGAAGTCTCAGCCTCAAGTGATCCACCTGCCTCGGCCTCCCAAACTGCTGCTTAAAGATAACTTGAATCAAGCCATGATTCTTGGCTTGGAAATAAGCTAAGTGAATTCATAGTCTTTCCTTTGTTTCTTGGCTGGCAAAGCACAATCTCAGCTCCAGGCTGAACAAAAGGTTATGAGAAATGTAAAAGGCTTGGTTTTGGCTACAACGCACAACACAGCTAGAAGTTGGCCTTGCCCAACAAGAAGACAGTGGGTTTCCTTTCAGCTCTTCCCCAAGTGTTAGTATTCAGCCTGCAATTTTCACTATCCAGGGATGTTTAGATGATAGACAATTATGATCAGTGAAAACATAAGAGTATGCCCAAGCTAAAGATGCAAGGTGTTAATTTGTCTAATTTGCCAAAAAGCATCTAAATATTACTGGGTCTGTTTTGCTGAAATATTTGTGCATATATTAAACTCATTTAAAGTGCTTTCTTTGTTTACCCAAGCTAATTACTTCCATTTAATTAGGCTCCATATTCCTAGCTCACTCAAGCTTTTCACTGATATTACAATTTTGCTAATATGTAGAAAAATATTTTACAGTCTGGGAAGTGAAACGAGACTATCTGACTCAACTGATGTCACAGACTTATGCCACAATGTTTCCAGATGGCAAAAGTTTATGAGGTTCACTTGGGTGTGTCCATTCTCTTAGAGTTCAATTCTTGTCATGTTTTTTCTTTATACTTAGCTCTTTTGGAAATGCTTAGGCTTTTATTTTATTACGTAAAAGATTTTCCTGTTCTGTTTGGCCTATTTCATTACTCAGTTTCACTTTACATGCCCTCATTTTGGAACTTCCTATTCTCTGTGGACAACGTTTTTGACATCTGCTTTACTTTAATAATAAAAATGTTATGCATCCTGGAATTAGTCATAACATAATTTGCTCATGCTCCTTACTTTTGCTATAGGAATTGCATGGGTATACCAAGGATATCATATGAACTTTTTTTTTTTCCAAGTAACTGAAGTCTCATGGTCCTAACAGTCTCATGTCTCAAAATAATATTTTTGGATTCCATCTCTTCTCTCTCTTTTTAAAAATGCTGTCAGTGTCATTGTGTTTACTGTAAAACCAATAAATGTCAAGCTATAGCTATAACTGTATATGCATGGTTATAATTATAAATGTTTATAGCTGTAAGTCACAACTTTTTCTATAGCTAAAAAAAGGAATAGATTTCTCCTGCCCAGAAGTATTTTAATAAATTCTAGAACATGTATTTCCAGTTTATGCAATTCACAAAAATATTTTCATGCTGTTAATATTAAATGATTTCTTATTTAATCAGTAATTCATTGTTTGCTTATTTATTTGTAGAAAGACAGGTCGAAAGAGGGGGGAAATTTGGAACATAGGGGCAAATGTTACTTTATCACATATGAATCTATATATATTAAATGAGAAATATAGCATCTTATTTTGAAAAAGAGTTTAAAAGCATATCAAACATCTAGCACACCAATCATCACTGGTTATTGAACAACTAACAAAATCTCATCTTTCAAACAGCAAGAAGGCTCAGAAGGTTATTAGCCTCTATTATTAGTCTTTGCTAATTCTTCAGTTAGCTCCAAGGATTTAAAAGACAAAGTCTGGAGCTGTTCTCATCAATTCCAACTGATGCCATTTGGTGTCATAGAGAATTACAAGCTTTCCAGGAACAAGGCTCAACTGGCAGCAAGGAATCATCAATGATTAATTTATAAAACCCACCCAAGCATCTGGTGGCAGCTTCAGGATAATGGCAGTAAGTGATATGCAGCCAGGTGACAGGATCTCTGCATTCCTAAGGTTCAGAAGATGGTAAAGGAAGTGGAGTAAGAAGGGTTTGGAATGACGCCCTACTGCGTGTTTTCAGGACGGCTTGTCATGCTACACAATTTGAGGAGTCAAACTAGGAGGGGAGGCAATTTGGATCCAAAGGGTTCATTCAGGGTAAGTAGAAGGAAGCAGCCACTAAGATTTTATTTATATGTTATTTCACTGCTTTCTTTCATCATCCTTCCCTTTAATTTTCCCTTCCAGGTTCCCAAATGATCACATTCCCGTCCCCAGTAGTAAAACGCCCGTGGAAGTAGAAGATGGATGCTGTGGCAACTGAACCTGGAGTCAGACTCAGAATCCCAGCTTCCTCACTCGGGAGGAGGCCTTGCATGGCTGTTCATGGGCTCCCTAAGAAGGCAGTGTCCTGAGGCGGGCCCTTGACTTTTTCCCCATCTTTGCTGCTAGGTCAAGGATCGCGCCATTCTAACTCACCTGATTTCTGGATCACGGTTTGAGAAGCCTGGCCCTGTGGATTTCCTAGTGTTATTTTCCTTATAGTGATTTCCTAAGGTCACAGTTTCCTAACTTCTGATTTTGTAGTTTTGATGTGAAAGAACAAAAGTGCTTCGATTTCAAACATATTGGAGATAGACTCGACGCCGGGCGGGCCATGGGCATTCAGCGGAAAACCAGACAGACAAAAAGATTCTGCTCTCCCGAAGCTTACATTGTGGTGAATTTAAAAGTTGTTTCTCAACATTAGCGCTTTACCCATCAGCAGCCCTGCCCAGGGCGAGGCGCCTCGATGCTTGAAGTTCACTGTTCAGGCGAAGGAGAACACAGTGTTCCCAAGGACCATTGTAAGCTGGGCGGCCAAAATTTGAAAGAACATAAATCGCAGGGCAACGAAGGAGGCGGGGGTCTCTGGAGGTTACTTCTATTAGCGTCAATACGGGCGAAATCAGGGGACCTAGCAGGAGCCTGAAAACTTCAAGCCAAACAAACAGTGAGATCACACCTCCCACCCGCCACCTCCCTCCACTGCCGCCGCCGCGAGACGGCTGCCCCGGGGGTGGCCCGGGGAAGGCAGGGGGGCTCGGAGAAGACGGACTCTGCTTTCGCTCCCCCTTTCTTCCCCATCCCTAACATGGGCTTTGCCCTGGAGCGCTTCGCAGAAGCCGTGGACCCGGCTCTGGAGTGCAAACTGTGCGGCCAGGTGCTTGAAGAGCCCCTGTGCACGCCGTGCGGGCACGTCTTCTGCGCCAGCTGCCTGTTGCCCTGGGCGGTGCGGAGGCGCCGGTGCCCGCTGCAGTGCCAGCCCTTGGCGCCCGGCGAGCTGTACCGGGTGCTGCCGCTGCGCAGCCTCATCCAGAAGCTGCGAGTCCAGTGCGACTACCGCGCCCGCGGCTGCGGCCACTCGGTCAGGCTGCACGAGCTGGAGGCGCACGTCGAGCACTGCGACTTCGGCCCTGCCCGCCGGCTCCGCAGCCGCGGGGGCTGCGCTTCGGGGCTGGGCGGTGGTGAGGTGCCCGCGCGGGGGGGCTGCGGTCCGACACCCAGGGCTGGCCGGGGCGGGGGCGCGCGCGGGGGGCCGCCGGGCGGCCGCTGGGGCCGCGGGCGGGGACCCGGGCCTCGGGTCCTCGCCTGGAGGCGGCGCGAGAAGGCGCTGCTGGCGCAGCTCTGGGCGCTGCAGGGCGAGGTGCAGCTCACGGCGCGCAGGTACCAGGAGAAGTTCACCCAATACATGGCTCACGTCCGCAACTTCGTCGGCGACCTCGGTGGCGGCCACCGCAGGGTAAGCAAAGGGGGGTGGGCACCGCGGGCATGGTCGATTGGGGTGGGAAAAGGAGCGGTTCTTTCTGACGCTTCAGGATTCCTTTGGAATTGGGCATCCTTCCTCACTATGCAGCAGGAAACATCCACACCCTGATCATACTTTCCTGTCATTATCTTACGAATGGATTGGCGTCGAAGTTAAGGATTGTCCCTTTTCTGATTATATTACGATTGGAAAGAGTTAAACAGATTCGATTCTAACTTTCCCCCGGGAAAGTAGGAATTGTGAAAACTCATTTTCCATCCAGACTCTCGTTTTCCATCTTTCACCCTCCTGCCCACCGTCTCTGCCTATTTTTTGAGCACTTGTCCCGTGCCTGAAGCAAATCCGAGAAGGAAAGACAGAAAGCGAAGACTTTCCCGGCCCAGCCTTTCCTCTCCCGCGGCCACCAGCATCCCCGCGGCCCTGGCAGCCGCGCACGCACACCTGGGACTGGTGTCAGCGTTGATGACACTTGCGCTGCCACTGCCTGAATCAACTGCCTTCTATTAAGTTGGGGACTGTGAGGCACGTTGGGGCCAGGACAGCCTCAGGAGTTGAGAGATGGGGTTTCTTAGACTTGCAGAGTTCATTTCATCACTCTGACTTTCCCTAAATAAGCCTTCCTTGCCTCGGGATCTCATTATTGGTGGAGAGAGAGAGAGAGATTGAGATTGTGTGTGTGCGACCTGGGAAGTCCAGTCCGAGAACCTCCATCTGTGGTCAGACCGGCCCTGCGAGCCCCCAGGCAGCGGTTGTTTCCCTTCTTTGTCTAAGCTGCTGGCCCCGAACTGCGCTCCTGGTCCTCCCGCCGGCTTTCATACCGAATAAACAAGCCTCTTTGCAGCATCCCGTGTGAAGAGGCTTGTTTATAAAGCTGTTACTTCTCTCCTGGAGGACTTCTGCACAGTGTCTGACATTGTTGGTCGCTGCCATGGTGAGCAGGGATTTAGCAGAATTTGCGCACCATTCAAGGAGCTGTTTTCATTCTTCAGCACTCCCGGGGAGGAGCAACCCAGAAAGATTCCCATTTGGGACTGGCTGCTCCACACTGCCTCTAACTCAGGCACTGAGTTTAGAAGCGCCCGTCTTGAACGTAAAAGAGAAAATTGAAGTGAGAGGGACTAAAATGTTTCTACCTTGATGAATGGAAGCACGTTGTGTATTAAACGACCGGTTTCAAGGAGTATTTCTCTAGTTCATATATGCATATACATATACGCATATATACAGGTAAATTTACAAAACGGGAGGACCCGGGGAAAAGCACAGATAGAAGCTTTGTATTACCAGTCCAGGTTTCAAGGTCGTAGGAAACCAATGGTTGAAGGAAAGGAGGAACAGCTAGAATAATATTACAGAAAAGTCCATGCAACAAGTCAAGCTATGATTCTGAGAAGTGAGAAAAACTGCCCATGATTTGCAGACTAGCCAAAACCTTCTATGTGTTCCTCAGAAGTGTTTTTCTACTACCAGTAGGGGCTGCTCTGCGCATTGCCTGGGAAAAGCTCCTGGGAAAATATCTTGATGCTGATAGCAGTGATGATGATGCATATGTTCTGAATGTTATCATTCAGAAATAGTTTCCAAGTAAAGGTTAATAACATCTACAACCATGAATAAACCCACCTAGTCCAGCACTAATTCATCCTATGTGTAAGTTAGTCTTTACTAATAAACATTGTAGCTATAATTCATATTTGTTTTACTATTATTTGGCCAGCAGGAAAAAATACATACTACTTTACCTAGCACAAACCCTTATTTTTTTATTCTGCAGGAATTATGCAAAACCAAATAGGAATATTATTTAAAATTAGGACTACAGTAGCCTAACAGATCCTGCATTACAACAGCAACATGAATGTTATGACTATAATTTATAAATAGTTCCAGTGTTTCTTAAATTCCTTAAGACTTTACAAAATAAAAATTTTACACTATTGATAATTTATATTTTACTTTTCTGTAATGGAGGGAAAAATAAAGATACCTCCAAGGTTTAACCAGAAATCTGTTTTCAATTGCAGTGAAATCAGATTTAGATACTGCATTAGGATAAAAGAGCTTCCTGTCTCAAAATGCAAAGCCATTTAGTAATTTTTGAAAATAGGGCTTTTTCCCCTCACATGCACAGTTGTTCTTTTTCAAATACATACTTGCAAAGTAAGTATAGGAAAATGTCAACCTTCTGCCACATTCAACCATCCTTAATTTTAAAGTTTTCCTCTTTTCACATGTCAGTTAACTTACAGTACATAAAAACTTATTGTAGGATTTATTTTTCTTTTATATTTTTACCTGGTTAAGTCATTTTATACATTTTTTTCTAGGATGGAGAGCATAAGCCATTCACTATTGTGTTAGAAAGAGAAAATGACACTTTGGGATTCAATATTATAGGAGGTCGACCAAATCAGGTAAAACACCTTGTTAATGCATTACTCGTTACTTATAAAATAAGCATTAATAAGCATTACTCATTGCTTATAAAATAATAGAGGACTTAGCTTTTGTTTGTGGATTTTGAGTAAGAAAAACAAGTGGTTTAATCTTTAAAATTATACTTGTGATCAAATATCAGATTTCTTAATGCAAATATTCCAGTACATACCCAGATTTTATTTATTTATTTATTTATTTATTTATTTATTTATTTATTTTGTTTGTTTGTTTGAGACAGAGTCTTGCTCTGTTGCCCAGGCTAGAGTGCAGTGGCACGATCTCAGCTCACTGCAACCTCTTCCTCCTGGGTTCAAGCAATTCTCCTGCCTCAGCCTCCCAAATAGCTGGGATTACAGGCTCCTGCCACCACACCCGGCTAATTTTTTGTATTTTTAGTAGAGACAGGGTTTCACATGTTGGCCAGGCTCGTTTTGAACTCCTCACCCCAAGTGATCCACCTCACGGTCTCCCAAAGTGCTAGGATTACAGGTGTGAGCCACCATGCCTGGCTCTGATTTTATTATTTTTTAATTTTTAAAAATTATTTTCTTTTTGAGTTGGAGTATCACTCTGCAGCCCAGGCTGGAGTGCAGTAGCGTGATCTCAGCTCAATGCAACCACTGCCTCTGGTTCAATTGATTCTCCTGCCTCAACCACCCAAGTAGCTGGGATTATAGGCGTGTGCCACCACGCCCAGCTAATTTTTGTATTTGTAGCAGAGAAAATACAAAATGTTGGCAAAGCTGGTCTCGAACTCCTAATCTCAAGTGATCCACCTCCCTCACCTCCCAAAGTGCTGGGATTACAGGCTTGAGCCACTGCACCTGGCCTTTATTTTTGAGAAAAACAAAAAACAACAGCTAGCAAACTTGGTTCTCTTTGCTACTTTAAAAGAAGAAAAGGAAAGTACATTTCACATTTTATCTAAATTTTATTGTCCTTTTGGCAAATTTCTTGAATAAACCTATTTCACAATACCATGTGTAGGCAATTTCTATTTGATAATATTAGGCAATTGTATTGCCTGCTTAAACCTATTTATTAAGTGCAATTACTCAGTTTGAAGATGCTAATACAGACTAGGAAGAAAATTATATTGAATGAATGAATGAACAGTTGAAACAAGGGATGATTGATTTCAATAGGAAGTACCATGTTAAAGAAAAACAGTTGATTAGAAATATTTTTGGCTCCCCAAACCGAGTTCTTTGTTTGATTGCATGAATAATATTCTTCATGTTGATGTCAATTGTTTTCAAAATGCATATTTTAAACTTATAGAATATACTGTAGTTGCAAAGTTCTTTTATATCTTTGAATTCCTGTGTCAACTTAATTTTCACCGTAACTGGAAAAAGGTGGTTAAGTTTTAAAAAATGATGTTCTTTAATTTTTCTCAATAAACTGCCATGAAATTTTTGCATCCTGCATTGCAGATGTTGTACAAGGAAACTGTCTTAGTGTTGTTGGCCATATGCTCTGTTTAGGTAAGGATGGCAGTGACATATTTCTTCCTTGTTTTTAGTATTTTGAAAACTTAGCAACTAATGACTGCTGTGCTTCTCTTTTTAAAACAGTCCTCATTTATTAAGATGAAAGCCTTTTCATCATAGCATTTTCGTTATCATTTTCCCTAAGGAATATTTTTATAGATTCTATTTTGGTATTTGACATTTAGATGACATCGGGCCTTTTTAAAAAGTCTCTTAAAATTCATGATAAGGACAGCTAAAGAGAAATAATTTTATTTAACCTGTCATGAAGTCAAATGACATTTAAAATTATATAATGTATTATTATAGGATGTTGGATATTTTCCCCTAAATAAGCTTTGACTTCTTGTGACTGGCTAAAATGTCCTATTTTTACCATATTGGCTATGTTTGAGGTTTAACTAATCATGAGTCAGACTGCACCTGGAAATATGTAACGATGAGTTTGCATGGGTTCCCTTTTGCATAGGTTCCCTTGCAGTTTAGATGTGATCTTTTGGGATTTTACACTTGAGTAAGCTACCAGTGTCTCTTGTGAATAGACACAACTAGAGCTATGTTTCTAAATCTGGCACATCAAAAAGCTAAATTACATTTCTAAACTCTACCACATCTCAAACCAGTTATACAGTGGGAACCAGATATATGTTTTTTTCCTTCTTTAACCTTATCACCCTTTTACTTGCTGTCTCTCTTTAGAAGTGAGATGTTTTATAAATAATACTTAAAAGCCAGTTTATTTCACCTTGTACATGCCCTTTCCCATAGCTTTTTTATGTGAACTCAAAAATGTGAAGTAAATAGATAATCTTGTCAGAGACCCTGGACTCATTCATTAAAACTGCCACCTTGATTAATGACTAGTTGGTGTTAAGTAAGTTAAAATTCTGTTCCAAATCCCCAGCTAAGAGAGTTGCAGGTTTACAGAGGATTGGTAATGTTACATTTGGTAAATTGTCCCTAATAATATTTAAATTTTGCTTACATCTTTCTTCTGCTAATGATTTTTTAAAAATAGAATAATCAGGAAGGAACATCGACTGAAGGAATTTACGTTTCAAAAATTTTAGAAAATGGACCTGCTGACAGAGCAGATGGCCTGGAGATTCATGACAAAATCATGGAGGTAAGACAATGATAAAACATGTATATGATCCATGCAAGAAAGATTGGGATATTTTAAGTTTTCAAATTTACCACTTTACCTTGGTGTGGTGCTTATTAGAATATACATTCTTAGTAGCAGTAAAGGCATTATCATTTTTACTTTCTTACAAAAAATGTAAAAGTCACTGGGAGAGGTGGCTCATGCCTATAATCCCAGCACTTTTGGTGGCTGAGGCAGGAGCATCACGTGAGCTTAGGAGTTCGAGACCTGACTGGGCAACATTGTGAGACTTCATCTCTACCAAAAAACAAAACAAAAAAATTAGCTGGGCATGGTGGCACATACCTATGGTCCCAGCTACTCAGGAGGCTGAGGTGGGTGGATCACTCGATGTTAAACCCAGGAGGTCAAGGCTGTGGTGAGCTGTGTGTAGGCCACTGCTCTCTAGCCTAGGCAACAGAGCAAGACGCTGCCTCCAAAAAGAAGTAAAACTCTATTATGATTCTATATAATTCGTTAGATATTGTGATGAAAGAATAAAATGCCTGAAGTTTTCAAATGTGTTAATGAATACCTCTGTTTTAATAACCTGTGTTTCCCATGAACTATGATGTCACTTGCTTGATTATTAAAGGATTAATTATTATAACATTTCAAAAAAGGATGATAAATCTCTGTTGAGGAACATTTCTGATGAGGAACTATGATTATATTTTAAATTTGTAATTAATATTTTATATGTAGAGTTTGGAATAAATTATACAATACTTTTAATATTTCTTGGTGTAATATGGCTACCTTGTTCCTGTCATTATCTTTTATATGAAAGAAAAAGAGAAATACCTTTTTTTCTCTTTGTTGTGAAAACCTGGTGAGAACTCTTTGTATGTTTTAACTGTATTGTTGTATTCGGGGGTGATAAAGTGAGCACCTATATGCTAGTAAAATTGGGTTATGTTAATGAAATTTTATGTCCCTGCCATCTGCCATCTCTGTCCTTTTGACATTTTATTAACTGGTTAAGATAATATTACTTTTTGTTGCCAAAAATGGTTAAGTTACTTTTATCAGTGAGTTTATTTCCAATGGATTAGTGAAGCTATAAATAGGAATTTGGAAGGTTTACTTGACTCCACTATTGTTTTTAAAAATTCTGTTCACTCTAGGCTATATAATCACTAGTGCTATCTCTCTGAATACTTATATAAACTATCAGAATGGAGGCAGATTTTCTATATTAAATTTTAAATAAAGTTTTAGCTTTTCATTCATCCTCTGTGCACTAAACAAAGTTGAATTTTTAATGAATCGACATAGAGTAAGAGTGAAGAATATAGAAGACCCAATAGTTTGCTGTTTTGGGAAAAAAGAACACAACATTTATAAATTAGCCGACTACAAAATTTAGAAAAAAAAGAAGAGTTATCTTTTGCCAAAAAAAAAACTTTGATTTATATCTAAAGAGGTCTCTTGTATCAAGATTTTTATTCTTCCAGTTTTGTTGCCGAGAAAGTGCAGACCTACTTTTGCTGTTGCTATCCAGTTCATCTTGACAATTTGTCTAGTGGAAACATTCACATGCTGTAGCTTCTAAAGTTAGAATGTGCACAGTATGATCTAAAGGGCAACATACTTTAAACAGAAGATTGTCCCTATTACTTTCTGCATTATCTCAAAAACATATTAAGTTGTCCAGTTACCAATGGAAAATAAATTCCTACATTTGATATTATTAGAAGAACTGATGGAACTGAATACATATATTGTTACACCCACACAAACACATAGACACAACAGAAATACGTATTGGCAATTTAAAAAATAACTTATTCTAGCTAGATGACAATATTATGTATGCTTCATTAATGTTACATTAGAAAAGAAAAAGAATTTTTTATATTGTCATACAACAATTTGGTTACAAACCTACTGTTTTTTTTAAAGAGGTAATTTTATAAAACTATGGTTGAAAATCAAGTGCATCTAGACACCTACATAGTACTGTTACTAATATATGTCAGATTAACCTTATTTAAACCCTGTAAGATAAAAAGTAAGGAGGTCAACCACAGAAATTCAAATGAAATTTAACTAGCTGCGGTATTATTATTCACTTTCATTTGCATATATTAGCAGTTAATGACTAGAGCTTGAAATTTGTCTCAATGATATAGATTTTTCAATGTGTCTTTTATACCAGGGTACATTGATTTTATGTATATATGCTATAGTTGTAGAATGGATCAATGTGACCACATTTGCAGTTAAGAAATGGGTTAGATGAGGTGCATATTTCTAGAATGTTGTGTGTTAAATAGCATGAAATATTTTAGAAAGAAGATTATTAGAAATAAATTGCTCTTGCTTAGTTGTTCAGTGATGCTATCGGCTTTTTGAGTGAATAGATATTTGTGTGACTTTAATATCTAGTTAAACAAGAAGTGTGTTTTTTCTTGTGCATATGGTGTGTGTTGTAAAAGATCCCTATGTAATCATTAAAGTTAGAAATATTTGATGCTTATCATTATTTTAGTTTCTCTGTCATTATGATATCAATCAACTTTAAGCAGTTTTTAGCTAATTGGAAATTGAGAAGAAATCTATCAATTTAAAATGTGCAGATGCATATTTTAAAACAGATTTTTAAAGTAAAGATAATAATTTATTTTCTGTTTTGTGATCAAAGATTTGTTCATTGAACAAATTTAATGGCTCAATTTTTGAATTTCAAATGGTCATGCTGATTTAAACCTGGTGCAACAAGTAAGTTTGTTAACAGTGTAAAGGGTACAAACTAGTTCATATATTATAAAATTATCCGTATGACTTATGCACAATCTGACACATTACTAAATGCTTTGAATTTACTGATATATAACTGAAATAAAAAATAAAAACAATAAGAGATTCTATGGTTTATATATAGTCAAGATATGCTCAAAAATATTTTCTGTAGCTAATTGCTTGATGCACACATACAAGTTTATGAATTGTTTTTAAAAAATAATAAAATTTTCCAAAGTTATTCACTTGAAGAGGAAGTAGACATGTTAAAGGTTTTGTTCTGTTGGTGGTTAAAAAGATTTTATAAACTCTAATAAATAATATATTAGTTATAATAGTTTTGCCACAGTTCAACAAAGGCTAGTAACACGTATTATTTTTTAATATTTGCATTCTATTGATAAAATTCAAGAATAATAAAAGAATAAAAAATTACTGTCATTAGGTAAACCTATGTCATATTTTTCACATAATATAAGGCAAGTTAATTTTTGGAGTCAGTCTCCACAAGCAACTATGTTAACCAGTTTCTAGCTATTTCCACATCCATATTTGTTAAACTATTTATGCTTGTAAATTTTAAAAAATCAGTTGTGATAGTTGAGTTACACTAGGTGTCAAAATATCACTGGAGACTGAAAAGGCAGAAGATATTGTTGAAGGCATTTTGAAACATCACAGAAATTCACATACACCAAGAATTCACCACAGTATACAGCTGAATAAAAGCATGCTGTTTTTCATTCTTTCAAGAATCAAAGGAATCACAGAAAATCCCTGATCCTATCGAAGGTTGGGCACAATTCTGGAAGAAGGCATGACCATTGCTGTAGTTATCATCATGTTAGGATGCCTAAGTGGTATGTGGGAGGGAGTTGAGAAACAAAGTTCACTGTTGCTTTTAGCATCGATTCCTCTATTCTTTCTTTCTTTCTTCTTCTTCTTCTTTTCCTTGTTTTTTCTGGGTTTTTTTTTTTGGAGACAGGATCTTGCTCTGTCACCTAGGCTGGAATGCAGTGGCATGATCACAGCTCACTGCAGCCTCTACCTCTGGGACTCAAGGTATCCTCCAGCCTAAGCCTCCCAAGTAGCTGGGACTACAGGTGCACCCCACCTCACCTGGCTAATTTTTTAAAAATTTTCTGTAGAGATGGGGTTTCACCATGCTGCCCAGGCTGGTCTTGAACTCCTGGGCTCAAGCGACCTGTCCACCTTGACCTCCTGAAATGCTGGGATTACAGGCGTGAGCCATAGTGCCCAGTCTCCTCTCTTATTTCTATGATACTGATAGCAGGCAATGCAACCATAACTCCAGAGTGGGAAAGGGTGGATAATCATTCATGGCTCTTTGTTTACACTTTCTTCTCCCAGCACTCCCCTAACCCCTGCAGCTCCAGGCCAATGTTGTTTGAAACAGTGCTGGAGGCACAGTGCTTCTCTCAACTTCTGGAGACCAGAGTGGGGCTGAAGGTCTGTGGAATCTTTGAGATGAATAGCTCAGAGCACAAAGCAGAGGATTTTTTTTAGTGTATATATTAAAATCTTTTTATTCTATTTTTTACCTTGAAATTCATAATGCAATGCAGCATAAAAGGCATTTTCCTTTTCTTTAGAAATAGTTCCCACATTGGAACATCACACTCTGGGGACTGTTGTGGGGTGGGGGGAGGGGGGAGGGATAGCATTAGGAGATATACCTAATGCTAAATGACGAGTTAATGGGTGCAGCACACCAGCATGGCACATGTATACATATGTAACTAACCTGCACATTGTGCACATGTACCCTAAAACTTAAAGTATAGTAATAATAATAATAATAAATAGAAATAGTTCCCACATTGAAGTGTCAGTGTAGCACTTTCCATTAAGTGCTGTTTATTACCAGAAGAAAGAGTTTCACAAATCAGAAACTTTTTAACTATCGCCAGACTACCAACTACACTTTCTTTTATTTCTGTAATGTTATACCTCTGCATTCTCTGTGGTCACTATCTGTACTGCTAAAATGAAAATCTTTGGTAGTTGTCACGTTTATTTAGCTAACACTCTGCATAGTCAGAATGCAGCTGTTAAAGCAGGAAAATTAATTGCAGTTCAGAGCTAAACATTTAGGCATGTTATTGAATCAGATCTGCAAGGTGCTACCTCTGTATATACCTAATGAAACACTATATCTTACTATCTCACAAAGCAATGGTGCTAATTTTTTGATGCATAAGAAGCATTTACAAGTTTCTATAGGTCACCTGTAAATCTGCTGGGCAGTTAGTTTTTTGACAAATTTATGTCTAATTCAAACAGCTAAATATCACTAATCATAGAGAAATGCAAATTAAAATCACAATGAGATACCATCTTACACCAGTCAGAAAATGGTTATTAATAAAAGTCAAAAAACAATAGATGTTGGTGAAAATGTAGAGAAAAGAGAACACTTACACACTATTGGTTGGAATGGAAATTCGTGTAACTCCTGTGGAAAACACTATGGCGACTTCCCAAAGGATTAAAAATAAAGCTACCATTTGATTTAGCAATCACACTACTGGGTATCTACCCAAAGGAACAAAATCATTATATAAAAAAGACACCTGCAGTTGTATGTTTATTGCAGCACCATTCACAATAGCAAAGTCACGGAATCAACCTATGTGTCCATCAGTGAATGATTGGATAAAGAAAACATGGTGTGCCTATATACACCATAGAATACTGTGCCACCATAAAAAACAAGAATGAAATTGTGTGTTTTGCGCAACATAGATGGAACTAGAGGCCATTACCTTAGGTGAAATCACTCAGACACTGAAAGTCAAATACCACATATTCTCATTTAAAAGTGGGAGCCAAACAATGTGCACACATGGACATAGAGAGTGGAATAACAGATGTTGAAGATGTGGAAGGGTGGGAGGAGGGAAGTGGATTGAGGGCTGATAATTACTTAGTGGGTACAATGCATCTTATTCAGGTCATGTTTACCTAAAAGCCCAGACTTCACCATGATGCAATGTATCCACATAAAAAAACTGCATTTGTAACCCCTAAATCTATAAAAATAACAAATACATTTTAAAAAGAGTGTAAATGGACATTACCACCTTGCCTTAGTGAAGTGACACTGTAGATTTATTCAGTGTCCCTGTCCTCCTAGAAGTTAGTTTAATTCATGATTACAAATCATTAAATCGAGTAGGGTAACAGTAGAATCTGTGGATGGAGGCAGCCTCATAGCTTCAGGAAAGGATGCAGGTGTTAAACTGGATTTTGGCCCTGACTTTGTGTCACATTGTCACTCAAAGATTTCTCAACTTTTCCATTTCTCAGTTTCTCTCCTGTAAGTATAAGTGTCACCCTAGACAGTCCCTCAGATTTTCCAACTAGGTGGTCATCGTGGTTTTGCCACATCACTGAGACTTTATTATTAATAAACATTGTTTTATGTTAGCCTACAAAAAAAGACTGGAAAGATCCTTATACCATTGAGTGTGTTAAGCACTGTTATATCCATTTTAAA
The DNA here is from genome assembly GCF_000001405.40 of Homo sapiens. Taxonomy (NCBI): domain Eukaryota; kingdom Metazoa; phylum Chordata; class Mammalia; order Primates; family Hominidae; genus Homo; species Homo sapiens. Next base: position 41,200,475 of record NC_000012.12, read on the forward strand.
TTTCTAAGACTTGAACTTGTGTTTGACTTGTGAGTGCTAAACTCCTGAGAAGGGAAACAGGGCCACCTCTTTTTACTGTGCAGCTTGCACACGGCACAGCTGGATTTGGTGTTCCTGTCTGAAGCTCTCAGTGTGGTTCCCATTCTCCTCATCATTCTATGCTATAAAAATCTCATCGGAACACCTGTAACATTATTTTGATTCATTTTAATTTGTGATCCAAAGTTGCTTTTAGGTAAAATTCCAAATTGGGGCCTTAACATACTGGTTTTTGCCCTTCTTTTCTTCCTTTCAATCATCCTGGGCACCTGGCAACTCCTTTCTGTCTTTCTTATTCCCCTGCAACATTTATTTCCAGGAAAGAAGGTCCTTACATTCACTTGCACCATTTGAACCATATACGTTTGTTCCATCGTAGTATCCGAACTTTAACTAGAGATGATGCCTTAATGACACCTAAGCTTTTATCATTTTCACCTGGGCCTGCACAGTAGCTTCTTGAGAAAACTTTCCTTTCTTCCAGCCTCTGCTATCTATAACTCCACTTGTTTTCTACCCTCAGCAAAACTTGTCATTGTTTTGCTCCTTTGCTTAGGGGCCTTTATTGGCATTATATTTTCAATTGGTTAAACCCAGGTTTTTTTTCATGAAGCAAAAATAGCCGTTTGAAATCCTTACTTTCTTTGTGCAATTAAAAAAAAAAACCCTCTACTATCGTTTCGTGAAACTCCTCCCTTTTCCTATGGACAGGCCTCTCTGCTTTTATTTGTTGTTTTCTGTCTAACTGGTATTCTGTGCCACAGCCTTCTGTAGCTGACAAACTCCTTTGTATCCTCAAATATCCTCTACTCCTGGAAGCCCTTTGCAATCCACTAAGCAATACTATCTTTTCTTCTCCATTGTCAATAGATCTTTATACCTCTCACTTTCATAGCATTTTCTTGTATTATGATATATATTTATTCTTTGATGTTCTTTTCCCCCAACAAATGTATGGGTTTCTCAGAAGTGGTTTTAGTATTTTATTGAACTTACTATCTTCAGCATCTCTTTTGCTCTCAGCATTGTGCCTGGGAAACTTCAGACATTCTGTGAATTTTCTTTGAATGATGGACTAAATGAATGGATGAATCTCAAGGTCAAGGTTTTAGGCATTATGGTATGGATCCAAGAGTTTTTCAACATCCCTGAAATTTTTCCAGTTGGGCAGTCCCCAAAGGCTCTCCTGTAACATCCGATTCCTTCTTGCCATATATTTATTACGAGATCAATCAGAAGTCGAAAGATTATTGTTTCTTAAGTTGTAAGATCTCGAAAATCTAGCCACAATGGATCAAAGCAATTGTATCTTTCTAGACTGTTTCTTATAGCCTATAAATCAAGAAAGAATCCAAGTCTACAAGGCAATGTTTCAAATTCTGTTCATGTAAATGCTTGAATTGGATCTGAAGACATGTGTGCTCACCTTCACCCTCCTACAGAAGGTTAGTTATTGAACTTGAACAACCCTGGTAAAGCTGCCAGAATTTACATGCTTGCCTGCAAAGCAGATGTGCAGAGAATGGCACTGGACCAATTATGAAATTGAACAAAAACATGATTGATTGCAGAGGAACTAAAAAGATGGAAGATATTTTCAATGTTTCCAAGCCTTGTAAATGGTCTTGTGAAAAGACCAAAAGAGCTGGAAGCTTCCTAGAGCACTGGGGATGGCACCGGAGCCTCTTTGAAGTCCTCTTGGGGAGAGCTGCTTGGAATAATTACCAGTAGCCCCAGCTGTGAGGCATTCTGAAGAAGCTTAAGGCACAGCTCACTGAGCTTGATGCTGGGAACTTTTCAAGGCAAGTTTAGGGAGGTTGTGCTTTCGTAAGTACATGCTGTTGTATTCCTAGCAGATTTTAGTGTTTCTACAAAGAGATAGGAATGGAAACTTTCCCAGTCTTTTCTAAAAATCATTATTCTTCCCAATGTCTTGAGAAAGTGTCACAAAGGAGAGAAAGGTGACTGACATGGGTTGGGTGGATTTGGTGCCTGATCCTCTTAAGCCTATGAATTATTACAGCCACATCACAGTTCCATGGCTTTATAGACAGTACTTTTAATCAGCTTTGCTCTTCTTTCTTAAGCAGATAACAGTGTTCTTAAAAAGAATGTATCACTTATTTTATAATCAGCAACTCAGAGGTGATACATTGTTATCTTCATATCAAACACACCCCAAAGAATAGACATTATTCATTATGTGGTTTCAAATATTTTAAACAATTTTGTATTGCTGTAAAAGTAGAGCAATAAATCTTTGACTTATAACATTAGATGAGCAATTGACTATGCTGCTTAGATAAGGAAATAAATATTTTTCATAATTTAGAGTATGATGCAATTTAGTATAGAATACCTGACAAAATATATAATGTTAAATGAAAATATTGTTATTTGTATGTAAAATTAGGTGATTTGATGTTTTATTTGCATGATCTATTGCATTGAAGCTAAGGGAAACAATAGATTTACTCTATGAAATCATATTTCAGAAAAAAATAGTTAACAAACATTTGTTAGTTATAGAAAAGGTAGTTTTCACAGTGAAATTTGCTACAAACATGATTCATGAAGTACATAAACACATATTTAAATGATAATAGGCTTTTGTTACGGAAGGTTGAAAAAAAAACCTGTTATTGATTGGAAGTACCTTAAAGAGCTTATAATCAAGATGGGAAGATAGTTGTATATTAATTAAACAAGCAACAACAAAACAAAACAACAACAACAAAAGGAACACAGAATGAGTGATTGGCATAGAATCGCTACCAAGAAGACTTCCTTGGTATTCTGGTAGCCTAAGAGCTTTAAGCTTTAAGGGGAAATGGTACTTGAAAGGACTCTTACAGGAAAAGTCAGAGAGGGATTAGGAGGTGAGAGAGGATAGAACAAGAGTTTTCCATATTTAGGAAGAATGCCATGAGTCAAATGACAAGGTAGGACTTGTGTGTCTTGCTTGGCAGCCATTTGGTCGATTAACCTGAAAAAATTGTAGCTAATAATTATTGGTTATTATATGTCAAGCATTCTTTAGGTTTTTTACAGGTATTAATTCTTTGTATCCCCACAACACTCTATGAGGTTGGTACTGTAGGTATTAATGGTGTCCCATTTTACAGATGAGAAGACTGAGGCACAGAGAGATCAACTAATTTGCCAAGGCCACACAGTAAGAGCTCCTGTATCTGTGCCTTCAACCATTGCTTAATACTACCTATTATTAAGAATTATATAAGTGATTCATGGTAGATAATCTATGAAAAGTCCGTTGAAGCCAGACTTTGAAGAAATTAGGGGAAGGCCTTGCATGTTTGTCTAAGGAGTTTGCTTTTTATGGTATAGACAACAAGGAGTCAGTGATAAGGTTTGAACAGTGGAATGACACAAGCAAAGCAATGACTGAAAGATTAAATCCCAAAGTAAATTTCACTGGGGTATATACCTAACTTGAAAAGTGAAAGAACTTGAGATGGGATGCTAATGGTTGGGTATCACAGTTGTCCATATATGAAGTAGTAAGGGCTTGTAGCAAATAAATGCAATAGAAAAGTACCAGAAGTATCTTGAACATTTTCCCTTGTCTTCACTTTCCAACAGTATGCTCATCATCATCTCATATCAAGAATGTAGTCCACTACCACAGAGGTTATGTATCCTTTCTTTTATTCTCTTCATTGCAGAATGTGTCATGGTGTTTAGTATAAATAGACTATGGAAATCTATCCCCTATGTCTGTTAGGAAGTCATTTGATGGTATTGGTTCAAAGAGGTCCTCTAAAAAGTCTTGAGAGAAAGACGGAGAGAGACAAAAGGCTTGATGGATTACCCTCTGGACAGGAGAGTTCCTTAAGAAGAACTAGGGTGTTCAAGCATTGTTTTCTACTGCAGGCTTGTTAGAAAAGATCTTGCAGTAATATAGTGGGTGTTGGAAGTACTAGGCCAGTTTGGAGCCTGTATTAGTCCATTCTCACACTGCTATAAAGAACTGCCCTAGACTGGGGAGGTCTCAGGAAACTTACAACAATGACCAAAGGTAAAAGGGAAGGAAGGTACCTTCTTCACAAGGCAGCAGGAGGGAGAATAAATGCAGGAGGAACTACCAAACACTTATAAAACCATCAGATCCTGTGAGAACTCACTCACTATCACGAAAAAGCATGGGGGAACCACCCCCGTGATTCAGTTACCTTCACCTGGTCTCTCCCTTGACGTGGGGATTATGGGAATTACAATTCAGGATGAGATTTTGGGTGGGGACACAGCCAAACCATATCAGAGCCTGTTCACCTTTTAAACTTGATTTGATATAGTTAGAAGTACTATTGACACTGGAGCTTTTTTCAGACAAAATTTTCTCTCAATCAAATATGTCATCTTCCCTCTCCTAGAATATTGCAATTTACTTCATATGGTTTCTTACCCACCATTTCTGTGCTCTGTCAAATCTGTCTCTATGCCAGTACTACTTGAACTATTTTTGTTAAAAGACATTTAATTATTTTATTTTATTTTTATGATTCATAGACTATAAGATAAAAATGAATTACTAGAAGAAAATGAAATAAAATGAGACAAAATGCTACCAGAACCATTTTTTATTATGTATTTATTATTATTAGGTTCATCAGACATACATTTGTCCTACCAAGTTAACATAAATGATTCTAAATTCTTGAACTCTGTTTCTGTACTTATCCTATCATAGATTAGTAACAAACTGTTCGTGACCTAGCACTGGTCTTTGGTCCTTAGTCCACTCTGAGTAGCACTGCCTCTCTCAGCAGCCAGAGAGATCATTTATGAATGCAAATTACATCTTATGATCCTTCTGTCTATAATTCCTGAAAACCTTCCCTGCGCATGGGATAAAATGTAAGGTTCTTAAGCTATTCAATGAGGTCCTGCCTCCTCTGGCACTCCTATATAAATCCAACTCCTTTGTCCACCCTCCCCTTAGCTCACATTGTTCAAGCTACACTGGCTTTCTCTTTCAGTTTCAGAATGCACCCAGCACTTTCCCGTCTCAAGGACTTCTCACTGGAATTCTCTTTCCCCTCCTTTAACCTCACTAACTTCTACTTATTCCTTCTACTCAGCTCAGATATCACCATTGCAGACAAGCCTCCTCTGTCTTTCCTGTTTAAACTCTAATCCCACGTGATGCTCTTTCATATTGCCTTCTCCTGGCAATATCATAATTAGAAATTACCTGTTTCTTTTTAAGGTAAATGTTTACAGAAGATCACAGATCATAAGTGTCTAGTGCAACAAAAGATCAAAAAGTGAAGTTATGCTCGAGACCAGCACCCAGATCAAGAAACAGAGCATAGCAGGCTCCCCAAAACCTTCCCTTCTTCCCCTGTTCCTTCATTACCTTCTTCTACATTTTTCCTATTTTTGACTTTTATATAAATAGAATCACACAATAGCTATTCTTTAGAGTTCAACTTCTTTTATTTAACACTGTGCTTGTGATGTCCACTCACATTGCTGCATGTAAGTGTTCATTCTTATAGCTGTGTAGTATTGTAGCATTTCACTATATGACTCTACCACAACTAATTATGAATTTTACCTTCAATGGAATGGTCAGTTCTAGGCTATTACAACAGCAGTGCTCTGAACATTCTTGTTTTGTGGACGTATGCATGTATTTATGATACACACACACAAACACATTTACGGGTACATTTGCAGGGTCAGAGGACATATAAATGTTTAGCTTTAGTCATTACTTCCAAACAGATTTTTCAAATGGTTTTAGCAATTTAGATTCTCATCAGCAGTGTCTTAGAGTTTCCATTAGTCCACATACTTGCAAAGACTTGGTATTGTGTGTTTTTTTAATTTCATCCATCTGGTGAAATGGTGTATGCAGATGACTCTGGCACTTCCTTGATGTCTAATGAAGTTAAATAAATCTTTGAATGTGTATTGGCCATTTCAGTCTCCTGTTTTATCACGTACCATATTAATAAATTATTAAGCTTAATTATTTATTAATTAAGCTTAATTAATTAATAAATTAATAAATTAATAATTTATTAAGGAGCTTAGAAATCCTGCCTTTTGCTGTGCCTTCAACACCCAGTGGCACTCAGCAGGCACTCAGCTATTTAATGAATACATTGGTACTATTAACTACAAGGGTAAAGCAAATCTAGCCCTGCTATCAAAACTCTGTGCTGATATATATGAGGTGTGCAATAAATATGTACTAAATGCATAAATAAAAGTTTCCTAAGTTTCTTTTAAATACACATCTATCACAAAGCAATTAAATGCTTCCTATCTTACCTGGTTTTCTCTCGGAGAAAGAGAAGTAATTCTGTGTTTCTTTTGACATTATCATGTTTGATCATCTTGGCATGCTCAATTTTTAATGTTACTCTTTTAGAGGGACCAGTCTTACACTGTCTATTTTGCTTCGCAATTCTTTGTTATAGTGTCACAAAGATTAATATGATCCCAAAACTGATACTTTTGGCCTAGATACACTGTGTTACAAATCCTTTCACTTCTTCTGAATGTGTAGGTGTTATTTTTTAAGAGACATAATTCTTTTCAACAGATAAGGATGATCAAAGAAGAAAAATTCTTTGTTTTTCTTCTTACACAAACTTTCACTTAGAGGACATTTCTTTTTGTAACACAGAACTTTATAATGCATATCTTTTCTTAGACATGTGTAATTTTTTTTGGATCCAAATTAAAATCCAGTAATGTCACATTCTATTGATTCAGAATTCAGTCATTGAGGCATACTTAATTAACCCTAAGATAAAGTTAGATTCCCAGACATACAGCTGGCAAGATAGAATTTTAGAGTTGAAAAAATTGGGTGGCTCAAAATTATCTAATAAACAATTGAAAAATAATTTTCATGTAATTTTTATATAAAAATGTTATATTTCATACAGTATGCTATTAATATTATTCTAGGCATATTTATATAATTAAATATCTTATAATGTGGGGTCATGAACTGCCAAATAAATTGTCTTACTGTAATTCATAAATAAATATCTAATACAGGAAGTACTCACAAAATATATCTCAACACATAATATAAATTATATACCAAATGGCTGTTATATTCAATCAGAATGGTAAGGATGATGATGGCTATAAAATAGCTAACATTTATAAACTCCTTATTGTGTGCCAACCACCAGGCAAATGGCTATGTGTAACAAACACATTGGTGCAATTAAAGGATTTCAGTGAATAGCAATAATTTAAACTTTGACATGGTCAATTTCATCAGAATAAACTTCATTATGTCTGAAGAGGAAATATGGCTGGTTAATATGAAGGAATAGTAAACATGCTGTAACATTTTGTGGAGACCTATGGAGTTGATGGCTCCAACTCTTCTTTAAGCCAGGCAGTGAATTCAATTGAATTACAGTATTAGCCATGTTTACAGTTTACAAAAAAAAAAATCAATGAAATATAGTGATCATTATGTGTTTTCTTATGGCACTTGGAGTTTGTAATAGCTTTCATTATTGAAAGATCCTGAAACATTTTGTGGAGCACAGTTACAGATAGTCATCCTTAGTTCTGAGTGTCCTGTCTTTTGTGTGTTTTAAGCTTTGTAAACAATCTCTTGTCCACTACTGCTTCTATTCCCAGGATTCAACTGTTAAATCCCAGGATTCATAATCTATTGGAAATATCTGACGTGACAAAATAGAAGTCTTTAAGTGTAAGCTTTACAATTAAGACTTGACTATTTGGTTCAAGGGAAATATTTAAATCCAATTCTGGGAATAATTTGAAGAGATTTTGCTGCTTTAAGAGTGATTCCCAAAGTTTAATATTTCAGGTGGTTTTCTATATGAAATGTTTTCACTAAAGAAATCTTCATCTTCATGTATATTGTCTCCATCTCTTTGCTTCTAAGGGATTTTTCAGTAATATTTGCATCAGTTTAGGGATTTAGCTTTTAATCTTTGTCAATTATTTTAATCTTTGTCAAGCTTTTAATCTTTGTCAGTAGCAGCTGAAGAAACTTGACCTTTTAGAATAATCACAACCTAATGCATTTGCTTATCATCTCTACTATATCCAGATTAATTCCTTACACGGAAGTGGTTTTTTAATATCAAAATCAAAGAAGAATATATTTTTTTTGTTTAATAAAAGCTTGAACCTCTAATCTGTAGGAAGCATGCTATGTAGTACTTTCTCTTTCTTAAAAATAACTCAATAGTAAGAAGCCTGTTGTTTATTCTCTGGGTAGAAGGCATTATTAAGGAAACAAAGTGAAGATTGTTAATTTTAATGAACATTTTTTCTTGTTCTTTGTGCTTTTTTTCCTTTTCTTTCCTTTTTTTAAAAAATATTGTTAGGGGAAAAAAAAGATTTTCCAGAAGTTTTACACATAAAAGATAATGAATTTTCACCTTGTTCATGCTATAGGAATTTGGGATTGTGCAAGTTAAGTTACATGAAGTTAAGAAAGTGCTTAACATGGTTAATTTCTCTGTGTGTATTTGTGTGTGTGTGTATGCATGCATGTGTGTTTTCTCTTTCTTTGCCCTGTTTGCAAGTAATGCATCAAGACTTTGTAAGATAATTTTTTAATTTTTATTTTGGAAACAGCTGCTTGGATACTACAGGAGTGGCTAACTTCATGAATCACGGGAAGCGGTGGTTTATTTTGAATGGAAATGAGTTTAAAAATCAACAGTTACTTTCTTTAGCTTTCTAAGAAGTCATTTAGGCACAGATGACGACATCTGAAAATTAGGCATCATTTTCTTTATCCATAAGCACAATGTCAATGGCAAGTTTTCTTTTTTCTTTTTATTTTTTTATTTATTTATTTTTTATTATACTTTAAGTCTTAGGGTACCTGTGCACAACGTGCAGGTTTGTTACATATGTATACATGTGGCGTGTTGGTGTGCTGCACCCATTAACTCGTCATTTAACATTAGGTATATCTCCTAATGCTATCCCTCCCGCCTCCCCCCACCCCACAACAGGCCCCGATGTGTGATGTTCCCCTTCCTGTGTCCATGTGTTCTCATTGTTCAATTCCCACCTATGAGTGAGAACATGTGGTGTTTGGTTTTTTGTCCTTGCGATAGTTTGCTGAGAATGATGGTTTCCAGCTTCATCCATGTCCCTACAAAGGACATGAACTCATCCTTTTTTATGGCTGCATAGTATTCCATGGTGTATATGTGCCACATTTTCTTAATCCAGTCTATCGTTGTTGGACATTTGGGTTGGTTCCAAGTCTTTGCTATTGGGAATAGTGCTGCAATAAACATACGTGTGCATGTGTCTTTATAGCAGCATGATTTATAGTCCTTTGGGTATATACCCAGTAACGGGATGGCTGGGTCAAATGGTATTTCTTGTTCTAGATCCCTGAGGAATCACCACACTGACTTCCACAATGGTTGAACTAGTTTACAGTCCCACCAACAGTGTAAAAGTGTTCCTATTTCTCCACATCCTCTCCAGCACCTGTTGTTTCCTGACTCTTTAATGATCACCATTCTAACTGGTGTGAGATGGTATCTCATTGTGGTTTTGATTTGCATTTCTCTGATGGCCAGTGATGATGAGCATTTTTTCATGTGTTTTCTGTCTGCATAAATGTCTTCTTTTGAGAAGTGTCTGTTCATATCCTTCACCCACTTTTTGATGGGGTTGTTTGTTTTTTTCTTGTAAATTTGTTTGAGTTCATTGTAGATTCTGGATATTAGCCCTTTGTCAGATGAGTAGGTTGCAAAAATTTTCTCCCATTCTGTTGGTTGCTTGTTCACTCTGATGGTAGTTTCTTATGCTGTGCAGAAGCTCTTTAGTTTAATTAGATCCCATTTGTCAATTATGGCTTTTGTTGGTCAATGGCAAGTTTTCTATAGAAAGTGTTCAAGAAACAATATAAGTGAATAATGTTAAATTATTATTGATATCTTTTGGAAGGGAAGTGTTAAAATATACTTAAATTTTACAACTGTTTTAAAAATTGAAGAAAATATTATACTTTAGATCTACTCTTCATTTGTAGCAATTGATGAACATTTTTAAAATGTCAAAATATAAGAAATACTTTAAATTATTTTACTTGTGTACAGTTATTGAAAAATGAAACCATGGTGAAAAGATGTTATTAAAACCCACTATTTCTTTTGGAGGAGAAATCTTGGAAATTTTGAAAGCCACATATAAATCTGAACTTACCTAGAGTCCAAAATATAACCTGTGGTTTTCCATATTTTTTGTGTATTTCCTGTCATGGATTGGTAGGTAAGGCTTTTGCTAGAGGTTTAAAACCCCAGAATTGCAGACACCATATCTAAGATTTCAAATTAGTTTAGAACATTTTACCAAAAGACACTAAAGTCCAAAAAGAGTTAACTCATTTTTATTCTAAATCATTGAAATCTATTTCTGTTAATTATTTATAGCTCTTCTCTCTAAGTCAAGCTGTTTATTCAAATGTAATTTCTAAAACATTGTCAGTTGTATAGATAATTTATATCTACACAATGCCAGAGAATACAAATAAATCTTAAATTTTAAAAATCACAAGACAGTGTTTCACGCCCTCAGGAAAATCCGAAGTTGAAGATAAGTTATTTCATTGCCAATATTTCCAGCTGCCAGAGTTGCCACACAAGGGTACTTTATATATAATTACCTTATTGAAAGAATTGTCATATCCCTTTTGTCCCTGAGGGGGAAAACAATCAGAAGATGTTGAAAGATGACTAGATTCTAGATTGGTATTTTAATTTTCAGAAGCCAACCCAGTCCTGGGATTGTTCTTAGAAGATAACTTCAGATTATATTGCTTTGGTTTATTTTAAGAGAAAATCTGTTGTAGAATATAAAGGAGGTTCTTATCTCTTTTATACTTGCCCATTACTTTTATTTCTTTTCCTTTGTGGCACTTACAGAAAGCCTTGTGAATAGATCTGTTTTTTTTTCTAGTAATTCCTACACTGTTGAAGAAGCTTTTCTCTGAGGTGCTCATGTATTATCATTAGCATGATTAGTGTTAGTCACTTAAACAGAGAGATATGATCTTAATCAGAAAACTATTATCCTGAAACTGCAAACCTAATGAAATACAAGGAAATTCAGGAAGAAGACCATCTGTAGATACACTCTGCCGATTTGATAATTGGACTGTTTAGGCAGGAGGCACAGAAGCCTTTATGTATATAAATGCAATTTAATTTGATGAGCTGTATGAAAATCAGTTTAGGCAAAATAAAAGCCACTTATACTAGCTAAAATAGAAATGAAAACATAGTTTCAGGATTATAGTTTTTAACGAGACCAGAAACCCATCACGAGGCATTTAATTGTGCATTCACCTGTAGATACTTAACTGTCAGTGGCTTTTTATTGGTCCCTTTATATGATACCAGGTTTCTTTGTATATTATTTCTAAAATAGGTATATTTGCCTTAGTTTAGTTTTATGGAGAAACTCCCTTTGCATATTTTATTTTATATTCTTGCCTGTCACTGTACCCTGGAACAGAATCAACCTTTATCTGGGCCCTGTACCTGTCAGCCTAATGGTGAGAGGGCTGAATCTCATGTTAACTCAATCTTGCCTTATACCAGTACATGTTCCAAAATCTCTGTGGGCCCTAATTAGATTATATTGTCATTAAAGGGATATAAACCTTCATATGGATATTTAAGCATTTGTTTTTCTCAGACCAAAGTATTGTTGTTATATATAGACATATTACAATATCAATGCAATATTTTACTTTCATTTGTTTCTTAGTGTTTCTGCCTGTTCTGTTTGATTTGGTTTGTGAACCAGTAGTTATGCAAGAAGTTTCTTGTTCAGAGGTAGATTTTTTTCCCTACTATTTTTATTTACATCCATCATTCCAAGTGGAATACCCATGTCCTCTAAATATGGAAAAGTTGACAGCCCCATCTTATTTTTCATGTGTTTTATATAAGAATACTTGTCTGGAATTAAATTGATAACTTCTGTGAAGAGTACATATTCTCTAATTCTCTTTTTTAAAATATTAATTTTATCACTTAATAAATGTTTGCCTAGCTTTTGCTATGAGCCAGCTACTGTGCTAATACTAGTTACACTACACCTAAGACACTGGAATTATGGTAAAGTCATAGACACAAGTTAAATAATAAATTAGGAATTGTAGTAAATGTATGAGGGAAGTTCTAGCTGTTGTTTGGGGAAATATTGGATGTAGAGTGGGTGGTTTTTATCTGAGAGATCAAGGATTTTTTCTTTGAAGAGTGACATTTATAGCATAACTAGAAACATGACTAAGTGTTAGCTAGGCAAGGATTTGAGGACAAAGCTTTTTAAAGAGACAGATGAGTATGTGCGGAAGCTCTGTGATAGGAAAAGGCTTAGTGTATTATAGGAATTGAAAGAAAGCTGATGGAAGAACGGCTCTCAGCAAGGATTGGAGAGTGGGAGGGGCTAATTATTGGAACATCTCTTAAACAGGTTGACTACACATCTGGGTTGCCCTTAGCAGCCTTGTTGATCTGGCAAAATGATTACTAATACTCCTAGTTATTCTCAAATGTGCCCCAATTTGATGTTAAATTATATCCTCCCCCATTTATAAATCGGGTTTTCTTTTTTCATTCCAAGAAAAATAGGAACCCATGAAAGTATTTAAGCAGGGAAGTGACATGATCAAATTACCATTTTAAGAAATCATTCTGCTGTAACGTTGCAAGTGGATTTGAGGAATCCAGATGGAAGTGGGAGGCTGGCTAGTCAGCCAGTGCAGTAGTTCAGATGCCAGGTGGCAGTGGTTTCGATGAGGGGTTTGGCAGTAGAGAGAAAACCCACGGCTTCAACATATATTTCACGAACAGACTCTGGGAAGTCGTAAGCAACAGGCATCCTCCTTTTGGTCTAACAATAATAATGCTACTCTTCTTCACTTTAATAAACAGTCATGAGCGCATGCAATGCCCACACTGACAGTTCACTTGTACAGCCATTTGTTCTTAGTTTCTGTGTCTGGTTGGGCCAGTAAAGCCCTTTCCTCATCCCTCTTTCTGCTTATCACTAGAGACAGAAACTAAAAACTATGGCTTCAGGCTGCTGAAAGCCTAAAATACAACAAAACAGAACAACAACAAAATAAGGCAGATTAGACAAGCTTGCTTTAAGTGATGTCCTGATGACAATAAGGGACTCAGTTTTTTCAGCATTTTGTGTTTTGATTAACCTGTAACAAGGTTTTGGAAAGCATCATTGCAAATAGTTGATCTAAGAAAATAGCACAGAGCATTGGTTTGGAGCCCAGTCTCGAGTTCAGTGGCCTGGATTGGAATTTCAGCCCTGCAACCAGCTGCTTCTAGTATAGAAGAGTCACTGACCCTCTCTGGTCCTCTATGTCCTAATCCCTAAAATAAGGATAATAACCTCAGAGTTGTTATCAAGATTAAATGAGTTAATATTTCAAAAAATTTAAAGCAATGCGTGGTACATAGCCACCTTCGTAAAAATTTTGTTAAATTATTAAAACTGAGTGACTGTATGGTTTGTACTGCAGCTTGATCAGAGACGTAGTGGGATAATTCTTGACCTAACTAGCTTATGTAAACTATTGATTATGTTATCTTCTGGATATATTGGCTTACGCCTCTAATCTCAGCACTTTGGAAGGCCAAAGCAGAAGACTGCTTGAGGCCAAGAGTTCAAGACCCACCTGAGCAACATAGTGAGACCCTGTATTTAAAAAAAAAAAAAAAAAAAAAAAAAAGTTAACCAGGCATGGTGGTACATGCCTGTAGTTCCAACTACTTTGGAGGCTGAGGCAGGAGGATCACTTGAGCTCAGGAGTTTGAGGCTGCAGTGAGACATGACCACCCCACTGCACTCTAGCCTGGGCAATAGAAGGAGACCCTGTCCCCTAAAAAAAAAAAAAAAAAAAAGTTATCTATTTGGGACTGTTGAGAAATTCCTGAAACATAAATAACAAATGATCCTCTAGATCCGAACCTGAGTAGAATTCTGGCTAGAATAAATAGGTAAAAGATGAAAGAAAGGGTTATATGTTAAAAAGAAAAATGTGTGTAGGCTTAATTTCTTCAGCCTATTTAGCATATGATTTTCTGCCTAGACTAAAATTACAACTACATTTATGAAATGTTAGAGTTGAAAGCCATTATAAATGACTTTTTTTTCACATTGTCTTACTGTGGAGATTAGGGCTTAGAGAAATTAAGCAATTTACATAAGATCCTATGACACAGATCAAAGCTACTCAAAATAGTTATAACAGGTAATAATAAAAGATTTCAGAAGTCTGTGACTCACAAATTTGATCATACTTTGGTGATGCTATATAATGTATCTGTTTGAGAGAAAAAAATGTCTGAAAAGCATTAAATAATGTTCAAAGAAGTGTTTTATAGCTGGTAAAGTCTAATACTCTTATTTTGTGGATGATTCTCATGAACTATAAAAATCTGTGAGATATATTTGTGAAATTAAGAGACTCATGAGAGATGTATATGTTTTTCTAGGATGGAAAATAGCCTTCAAACACAGTTGCATGGTAGGCCACTTCTGTGATATGGAGAATAGTGAACTTGCTTTCCTGACCAAAATGTTCCACATCTCACCAATTACCTGGCTTGAATTTCCACCATTAGGGATGCATTTGTTTAAGTTTTGAGGATATCTTGGTATTAAGGAATGGCTTAGAAAAATGGAAATTGTTTACTGGGCTGTCTCAATCTCAGCATGTATTAACTAAGGACTTCTAGGGAAGAGGTTCTAAAACTATAGTATAGAAATTATAATGTCACATTCTTGAGGTACTTGTTAAAAACGCAGATTCCAGAGTTCAATCCCAGACCTAGTGAAATAATCTCTAAGGTCTAGACTACTCAGATCTATACATTGTTTGCTTGATGGTGTTCTTGAATGCCATTTGAATATCACTTTTTAAATTATCACGAGTGATATGTTGAAAGTTTATAATAAACAAAAAGTATACAATTTTATTTTCACTAGTAGAATAGTAAAGCAAGTACCTTTAGTTTTATTTGCATTCTGGCTGATAATTCACTGTCATTAGAACCTCAACAGATTGTCTGCCATGATGATTACATAGACATTGTAGGATTTTTTTTACAGGTAATTGTTATATCCACTTGAATTATAACTTGCAAATTTTTCACCTTAGGCAAAGACTATCTGGGTTTATCATTTCACCTCTCATCCTAATACCAGTTTTCTCCACTTTCTCCCATAGTGGTCTAAATTCAGTGCTTTGAGTCTACCACTTGTCTTTGAAAAAGCCTCATAAACACGCTAAGCCTCCATAGTTTTTTTTTTTAATCTGTCATTGAATTTAATTTGCTCTCCTAAATCTCAGGATAGTACGAGGATTTAGTTAGGTAATTTACATGAAAGCATTTTGTAAATCATAAAGTGTTCTACAAATGTAATGTACTATTACTAGTTAAGGACCTTAAAATACCTATTACCCCTGTGGTCCTGTCAAACTCATTCTATCAATTTCTTTTCTTTCTCAGAACTCTGGTCTCAGTGATACTAGTTAGCAAATTTAATTATGTTAAATAAAATTTTAACTAATAGGTGACATCCATTTCCATAGGCCAAATCCAGAGTGAGTACAGTTAGTACAACGAGTACATTCAAAGTATTGTTCTGGACATTATAGAGAAATAATGAGTAATCTAAATGTTCTTGATAATGTTATATAGATGTTTAAAAAGAGGAAATAAGAAATGCAAGCAATCATTATGCAAATTCTTACATAATCAGTGCCATTAACAGGATAGAAGGTACTGGGGGTGAAAGTTGTTTGTTTAAGGGAAGAAGAATAAAATTAAGTTTTAGGGAATCAAGGATTCTATATAGACCTTGAACGATGGGTAGGATTTTAGAAGCTTGTGTTTCAAAGAGTTTGACTTGAATATAAGACAGAAATCATTCCTAAAACAATTTTAGCTGTAAAACTTTGATACTTAAAACCAGGAAAAACTTTGAGTATCTTTTAAATTAACTATTTTTATTTATAAAACAGATAGTTCATCAGATCTGAAAGCCTGCATATTCTAAACACTAAACTTACATCCTTTTTTGAATTGGATTATTTTATAGTAGGCAATAATTGAGTAAAGTATTCTGGGCCTGTTTATTTGATCTGCTCTGATCAATTCATCTAATTAATTTATTTGATTAATCATCTGATTAATTCATTTCAGAACACAGACCAGATATCTGTCATCCTTTCTTTTTTTTAGGAAATATGGAATCATCAAACATTACGTTAAAAAAATAATCACCAAATCAACCTGCTGAGTTAAATTAATGTCCCTCTATTCTTCTTAAAAAGGAGGCACCTGCCTTACTAATGTTCATAATAAATGCCTTGTATAGAAGAGTTTTCCTCATGTAGAAATACCTATTTGTCTCATGAAGAAATCAACTCCCCAACATCATATCCTTCTCAAAACAAATAGGTGGATTTCAGCTTCTTCCCTTTGTTGTGAATGATCCTTTCATATCCCTTTCTTGTTTGCCTGGTCAAAACTGATAGGTTAGAAGCTAGTTTAAGCAGCAGATGAGGCAATAGTGTGCTTAAAGCTAGAGCAGTGTCTGGACTGGACTTTCAGTCTTCAGGTTCAAGCAGCTCCTGAAGTAGAGGCCAATGTTCCAAATCAGAGCAACTCAATGAACCATTTTGTCTTTGTTTGAAATCTCTAAGGCAGGGCTGGCTTCATGGGTGATTACTGGGAAGCTACACAGGGCTCAGGTTTAGAGGGGTCCTGTCCTTATTTTAATGCTCTGCTGTCACCATCTTGAAATTCTTAATGTTTTTGAACAATGATTTTCCTGTTGTGCTGGGCTTTGCAACCTGGTCCTGCTCTAAGGCTTTCATCCATTACTGCAGAGCCATCTCAAAACAAAATAAAAGCACCAAATGAGTGCTGTCATTTTTTAACATGAGAAAAAAAATAGCAGGTTTCAGAGATCCAATTAGATAGTAATGCCAAATTTTCCCCAGGACATTCCCATTAAAAGTTTATATTTGAAACAGTCAACAAAGACGTAGGTAGGTCTGATTGTTAAAAATCAGTTTAGCCTGAAAGAAGACTATTCTCTGGGTAAAACAGATCATTTTCTCTTCTCTACCACAGCCTCCTCTCCTTCTTCTTGCTTGTTTCCTTCCTTTAAAGGGAACATACAGACACCTTCCATCCTTGGCCTGCTTACTGTGAGCTGCCAACAAGATAGACAAGGCTACATTTTGGCCCTGTTTCCCAGTTTGCAGAGTTCCGCTCTGTGCTCCCAAGACCTTTCTAAATCCCATCCATAACTTCACTGAAGAAATACTGAAAAAAGATACCACATGATTCATATAAACTTCCCACAGAGCACTGCCTTCCCCACCAAAATGGAAAAGGACTTGGAATGTACAAGTCAGATAGCAGAAGGCCAAAAGGCTGTGGAAATGAATTCATTCACTGAACTGAAACTTTTGAGGGAGGCCAGTTTTCAAAAGCAGCCTTCCAAGTCTTTCTACCATTCAGGCTGCTCCCTCTGCATAATGAACCTATTAAAAGAATTAAGTCAATTTTTAAAAAGCAGTGATCTTTCTTTCATCTGATTTGTGGCATAATTCAAGTAAAAGCCTCTTTTCCTTTTGTCTGTTATATGACTCTGTACTCCTCTCCTAGTTCATTGCTTTACTTCATTTTCACTTCAGTTGATACCTTGTCCCTTGGTCAGGGGAAGGCAGGATAAAGAAGACAGGGCACATGAGAGAGGTTCTCAGAGTGTTAAAGAAATACATCAAGGGCTGACAAATGCAATTCTGTTTCAGAGCAGGCCTGATCACTGACTATGAACATTTTAAAGGTGAAAACGTTCATTCTGTACTATTAATCTGCTATAGCAAATTTACTTCTGATTTGCATCTCATATTCTTGTGCTTTTGTTTCAAAAAAAATTTAATGTCTAGGAAAATGCTCATTATATAAAAATTTTATCATATACTGACATACCCCCTGTAAAGAGTGTTCTTTCTAATAACAATTGTTGGGCGTAATAAGTGACTCCTCAAGAAAGACTCTCAAATAATTTGGTTGTATCTGTTAAATAAAATAATATAAAACGAACTGTTAAAAATCATTAACTGCAACTCACTTTCAGCAAATATATAACACAAAGATTAAAGTATGTTCAAATATTTCCTATCCATTGCTCCTTGCACATTTTCAGTTAATTTCTGTTCCTTTATGGCAAGTTCAAATATTTGGCTACAAGTGAAGAAACTTTAACTGTAGAAATGTTTCCAAATCCTTAAGCAGTTATTTATTTTTACACATAAGTCTCTACATTATTATTCCAATAGCTAGGAATATTATTTTTCCTAGAATATTCCTAGATGTAGGAATATTATTTTACTAGGAATATTATTGTTCCTAAAATATTCCTAGATCTAGGAATATTATCTTACTAGGAATATTATTATTCTTAGGTAAAGGAATAATAACGTAGAGACTTAAGAGTAAAAATAAATGGTGTCTGATTTAACATACATTTAGAGAGGGTACCTTGTGTACAGAGATACAGATCCTGCCTTTCAGGGTTGAAGGTGATTAGAGAATTACAGCACTGGGTTTTTCACGCTGTGATGAAAGCTTAAAGAAGATACCCTAGTTCTAGCTGAGGTTGGTGGGAAGAAGCCAGGGGAAGAAGACTGAGAAAGTTCACAGGGAGCATGATCTCTGACCTGAATTTTGATGATTGAGTAGGAGTTCAGTCAAGATTAGAGGTGAGAATGGTAGGGAGAAGAAAACTGCATAGTCTTAAACTTCAGATTATATTTACTGCAAATATTATCTTTTTGTAAATATTTTATTATTAAAAATGGAGATGAAGGAGAAAGAATAATCTAGTAATAATGCTCTAGAAGTTGAAATGAGACACTTCTAACAGTGGGAGTAAGCTTCACTTCTTTGCTAATCAATTGCAGCCTTGGTAATGTTCTTAATAATCTGAATTTTAAACAGCACAAATACTTGAAAGAAATATGTGAGGTGAGGTATTAAAGCTGCCTCCCGAGAAACATGAGCTTGCCTTGAAGAGGCACAAAGTTTACTGTTAGATAACACAGAGTAATACTTCACGAAGTGTATGAAGAAGCAACCTTGATATGATATGAGCTGTGGGTATTTGCTGGTTTTGCAGAAAACTGAATCTTTTTCTTTAAATGCATATCTCAAAGCTGTGTTATGCATTCCACAAATTTTATTAGGAATTCCATTTATTCAGCAACAATTTTAAGCTGCTGTAGCTTCTGCTACTGATATAACCAACAACATTAATTGGGAAAATTTTGGCGACTCTTCTGTGTCAGTTTGACCTCAAGATGTCTGACTCTGCTCACGGGGAGGGTAAATCCATGGGAGTGCTTTCTGTAAAGGCAGAAAATGCAAAGGAGACAAGACTAGTCAGAAAGATCTGTGCCCAGCAATAAGGAGAACCTAGAAGCTAAGCTCCAAGAGGGTATGAAGATTTTTATGTTGGTGGCTCTTCCCCCACCTGCCTCTGTAAAGTCTTTATTAGTTTGCTAGGGCTGCCATAACAAAGTCCCATAGACCGGGTAACTTAACAGAAATGTAATTTCTCACAGTTTTGGAGGCTAGAAGTCCAAGATCAAGTGTCGGCTGGGTTAGTTTCCCGTGAGTCCTTTTTCCTTGGCATGTAGGTGGCCACCCTCTTGCTGTGTCTTCAGGTGGCCTTTCCTCTTGTGTCTGTGCCCTAATCTCTTCTTAGAAGAATACCAGTCATATTGGATTAGAGATCACCCTGATGGCCTCACTGAATCTTAATTACCTCTTTAAAGACCCCATGTCCAAATGCAGTCACATTTGGAGGTACTGAGGATTAAGGGTTTCAACATACAAATTTGGCCAGGAAAGGGGATGTAATTTAGCACAGAAGAGAATCCTCACTACTTAGAGGAAGGACCTGCCATCAAGTAGCACTCAGTAACATGATTTTAAAATAAGTGTTTGAAAGAACAAAGAAATGGCTCCGAGAGGAGCTGATGCCAGAAGCTGACTTGGATAGTGTATACAACTAGACTCTGGTAAGGAAAAACATAGTAAATTTGTAGTCAGTTCCACAGCCCTAAAAGGCTAAGTAAGTGGAATGAGGGAGAGGTTATGGAATAAACCAGGCAATTCAGAAAAATGTTAGGCATAAGTCAAGAAGGTAGATCCATAATAATGAGGTCTTAACCTTGACACTAGTTAAATCTGAGTACTTGTGGTTAGCACAACAATAAGCTGGAAGCAAAATGAAATACTATAGAGAAAAGCATCTATTTTAGGCTCCACCTTTCTACATACACTGCCTATAACCCAGTTATGGCTGAGGCAACATTGTGCATTTCTACATTTTCATTTTTCTGTGGACATAGAGGTGGGACCATATGACTGAGTTCTAGGCAAAGGAATACAAATGGAAGTAATATTGTTTCTAGGCCATGAAGCATCCATGCAATTGGCCTTGCTCTCTCTCTTTCCTGCTCACATGTCAGGAAACAAAGGACACTGGAAGGAGGCCAGATTCCAGAGTCCTTGGAGAGGGGCTACCCAGGAGAGCTCTTGGACTGGGAACACCCACTTCAGACTTTATGTGATCAAGAAACAAAACCTTTAAGGCTTGTGAAGTTAATGTTAAGTCCCTGAGATTTGAGGATTGTTTGTTACAGCACTTACTCGTCCTAACACAGAAATTAGTACGGTGAAGTGGGTGTGCTATTGTAACCCAAATATATTGCATCAACTTATATGAGGCACATGGGGAAGAGAAAGCTGATAACCAAGGCTGAAGCAATGTTAATCCATATCCTTACAGGCAACACATTTGGTAGAGCATTATATGGAAGCTAGACAATATATCAACAGCTCTAAGGAAAAAGGTTGAAAAACAGAACCTTATTAGTGTGGGTTTTTTTTTATTACCTGTGTTTGGCAAAATGTCACAAAAAGGAAATGAACTCAGGAAAGAACTGGCTAGTTTATGAGCAGAACTGATAAGGAATTTTTAAAAGTGTAGTAATTTAAGGCTTTTCAGGCTTTGAAAAGCCAACTGCTTCTAGATCGCAAGCAGTTAGCGGTCAAATTACGGTGACTCAGGAGAAAAAATCTGATTAAGGGTGTGTGTGGCCTTCCTTTTCAAGTCTTATAGACTTATTTGTCCTCAAGAAAGTTAAGTGGTGAGAAGGAGGCAACGGACAAGAAAGGAGAGAAAACTGGGCCCCTAACTTTCCTGGCACAACTGACAGCTTTTAAAGATCCAGTCCCCTACAGGGGATACTCATCGAGACATATTTGTACCTTGGCCAAGAAAAAAATACTAGACAAGGAGAACCTTTTAGGGTTTGGAGCCAAGGCCATGGACAACAAAGAACAAAGTTTGTCTTCTAAGATATAATGTGGTAAAAGAAACAGAAGCAGCATTGCAATGCTCACAAATTATTCCTTCACGTGGAGTTGATGGTGGTGGTGGGTTGGCACCACCAGAGTTCCAGCATATGACCAGAGGCCCTCTGTACTGCCTTTTCCATATGGAGCACATAGTCTACCATGCAGACTATCGGAAATTGTGTTTGCATCATAGGCCATGGGCCATATGGTATTTTTTGCTAGGCATGGACATTTGACCTGCAGCTCATTTCCTGCTAATGGATACTTATTTAACTTTTTAAAAAAATGTTTGTGCACATTTTGGAATGTCCTTTTCGGCATTTCTTTTCCCTGTCCACCTCACCTATTTAGACTGCTATCTGCCCTTAGGCAGCTGTGATGTACAGATTGAGAGGAAACAGGTTGCTGCTGTACTCGGTCACACAGAAATGAGAAAACTCATTTCGTATAAAATGAGTTTTATACTAAATTTCATGAGGTTTCTCTGATAGAGTTTGTCTAAAATGTAATATATTACTATTATTTCTATTTTTTTATTGAGATGGAGTCTCACTCTGTCGCCCAGGCTGGAGTGCAGTGGTGCAAGCTCAGCTCACTGCAACCTCCACCTCCCGGGTTGAAGTGATTCTCCTGCCTCAGCCTCCCAAGTAGCTGGGATTACAATTACAGGTGCACACCACCATGCCCGGCTAGTTTTTGTATTTTTAGTAGAGATGGGGATTCATCATATTGGCCAGGGTGATCTCGAACTCATGACCTCAAGTGATCCACCCGCCTCAGCCTCCCAAAATGCTGGGATTACAGGCATGAGCCACCACACCCAGCCTATAATGGATTATTTATAGCTCTATAGAACTACTATAAGCTGTGTTTCTATAGTAAGAAACCTGTTAGATAGAACCCACAGTATCTATGGTGTATATCCTATAATTCTTACCTTGGCTAGAACTACTCATTTTTAGTAGCTTATGTTTGGTAACCAAATTACAGATTTAAGATTCCATTTTTGCTTTATTATTAGCTTGGTGCAAAAGTAATTGCCGTGTTTGCCTTCTTTTAAATGGCAAAGCTCACAATTACTTTTGCACCAGTCTAATATAAAGAATGGGTAAGGCTTACACAACAGGTAGGTATTACAATATTTATTTGGCTCTTCTTAGACTCTATGAGAAGCAACACCTTGAAGGAACTCATAGTAAGCATGTGATAGGTTTATTTGTATCCAGAGCAGTATCATCAATATTTGGAATATAATAAATAAATTACTTTTATGATGGTTTGTGTATGTAGACATTAAAGAAAAGATTAGTCTTGTCAGGTTCTCAGTAAAATTTTCTAAATTCCATTCATCCCTATTTCTCCCTGTCTCTTCCTTCTCTTCTCTACTCCTCCCTCCTTCTCTCCCCCTACCCAGCCCATCTATATGTATTTAGTTCAGATAATCACACAAAGGACACAAAGATGAATAACATATACCTCTTGCTCTCAAATCCTGTAGACACAGAATACATTGATTGTGCTGTTTTATTTAAAAAGTGTAATCTTTTGCATTCCAAATACAAAATTCCAAATCAGAGTAATTTTTGTTTTTAAAATGTTAAAAATAAGATAATAATATTGATGCTGGGAGTTGTTAGGCCATTAAGTCTTGAAGTGGTCACTTAGGACAGTGAGCTGAAGTAGTACTCAAGCCTGTATTCACTCACTGCAGCAGAGCTAGCAAGAGGCGGAAAGAACTGACAGCTCCTCAGCCCCATTTTCTCTGTGGAATGGCACTGGGCGATGGCCAGGTGGGTGCAGCACAGGCAGGGGGAGTTGTCTCACTGCTGAGAAACCCAAAAAATAAGGCTGCAGCCCCTTTATGACCCTGTGGGTCCAGGGCAGGGTTAGAGGGAAGGGCTAGGAGTGGAAAGGTACAGAATCTTAGTGGAGAAAAGTGTTTCAGCCACGGCCTTCCACTAAAGAGGCCTCTGACCAGAAGGGTCCTGGACATGGTAGGAGGGGGACTAAGTTCTAGAGTGCAACTCTCTGCAGAAAACTGCACCAAGTTTGCTGTGGCCAGAGCAGCTTGCCCTTGAGGCCTGCCAGGCAAAGCTTTGCAATTGCCTATGGTTGCATCTGAGAGGTCACCCATAGGATTTTGTCCTGGAGCTGGGCTGTCCAGAAACTATCATTTAATGAAAGCTCACTACTTGCCAGTCTGTGGCATTCAATCCTCATGGAAGCACTTGAGTTGGGCTTTTATTAACCCCGTTTTACAAATGGGTAAACAATGCTCAGAGAGATTATGTTACTTGCCCCATACTGTGCCATGAATCTCTTAACCAATGGCCAGCTAAAGTGTGACATGTTATGAGCCATCTATTGATACATATTCATTACATTATTTTTTGTTGCAGTCTTGTACATTTATTGTATTAAATATTACTGCCAAAATTAATAGCTGGGGTATGAACAAGAGTGGAACTTTTCCTGTGCATGACACTTGATAAACTTACAGGTTCAAATGGCTTTCGTGAGGAAGAGATCAAGTGATAGTGCTTTTAGTGGAGTTAAAGAACAAAGTAAAGAGAAAATCAAGAGAATTTCTGTTCTGAGAAGTAGAGAATTGTGAATATTTTCTGATCATGGAGATAATTCCAATTTTATAGTATAGGTAAGAAAATCTGAGTTTGTGTCTTAGAGTAATTTATCTACTTTAATCCTAGAGATGGGACAAGAAGTCAAAATTCCTGACTCTTAATTCAATACACCTTTTATTATATAACAACAAGAGCTGCAACAGCAGTGGCTATTGCTAATATTCCAATTGCACAGATGAGGAAATGAACACTTTAAGATCAGTAGCTTCATCAGAATTTGAATGCAGGCTGATTAACTCCAGTTCTCATTGCTTTAATCACTACATAATAATACCCTAACACTGCCCCATCCTACTTTAGTAATAGAGATCATGTTTTCTTAAGCATAAATCATAATACCTGGCCTGAAAAATAAAAATAGAATACTTAAAGAAAAATAGGAACAAGTTTTACTTATTCAAATGATCATTATAACTATATACAGTTCTCCTGTCTCCAGAGTATAAAAAGTCATGCTATACTGAGAAAAATATAATATAGCTTTCATTTATTCACATTTTTATCAAGAAATAGTACATTATGAATTAATTATTGGACTTACGTTATCCTGTTGATGATTTTTTACTGCCAGAATTTGCAGTTATTTACCACATTAAGTTGCAAAGCTAAATAAAGATAGCTGTAATTTCAGTCTATAAACAGGAAGAATAATATCTTAATACTTTAAACTCTGGGTGGTTGCATCTGATGTAATAAATTGAAAGGAAGAAAGCTAAAAATAAAGCTCTGAATCAATGATGTAATGTATTTTATCATTCATATTGGGAAGTATAATTCACTTTATATTACACTGTGTTTTTTTTTTCTGATGTCATCTGTCACCTGTATTACTTTTAAACCAAACACATATAATTGTGGAAAATTATCTTATAATTTAGTGCTTTATACTTAAATGCTTTTGTAATAATTTTTTAATTTAGCTAAAGGAGCACAAATATTTTCCACAAATGTTTACAAAACACACCTATTTTAATTTCTCTCTGTTTTCTTTCTGTATCAAAATGGATGACTCCAAGTGGTAAGATGTTAAGAGACAACTGAATATGGGGGTGGGGGATCTAGAAACTTTATCCCTTACCTCCAAGTCAGTAACCAATACAAGCCCAAGCCATTTCTGTCGTCAATTGTGTCATATCCATTGTCTCAGCTTGTTTTGCATGTTAATTATAACAGCTATAAGGTGTTGTAGGAGTTGGCATCTCAGAATTTCATTTTCATCATGCCTTCTCCTATCCTTCTGAGCTATTCTGGAGCCAGGCACCCCCCTGGAGTAGGTAACCCTTGTCAACAGCACACTCTTGTCTCCACTTGAATTTTTTTTTCCTGCTATTCTTACCTCTCCAGGCATTCTTTCCGGTCAACAATTTACCCATTCTGAGTCTCTTTATTCCACGATGTGGTTAAATGATGTCTTGAAAGGTTCGTACTGATCATTTGGTGTCATTTTTTTTTTAACACAAAGCCCTTGAAATTGCCTGGAGAATGATGTGTGTCATATGTTGTCCTATATGTGTTACAAAATAAAGACCTTTCCCTGGCCCATTTGCTCACCAGCTTCATGGCTTTGCTCCAACATGAGGTCCGTGGTGAGCATTTGCCTGATCACCCTCTTTAATTTGCAGCTCTCCATCTCTAGCACTTCCTGCCACCCTTCCCTATTCTTTTTTTCTCCATAGTACTAGCATCTTCTAATGTACTGCATTATGTACCTAGATTTTTTTTCCTATCTACTTCTCACTAGATCAAAAGCTCTTTGAGGTCATGGATTTTGGGGTTTTGTTCACTGCAAAGAACTCCAGAGCCCAGAGCAAAGACTGGTACCTAGAAGCTCTTGAGTAAATTTTGTTGAAGGAATAAGGAATTATGGAGGAACAAAGCTTTGATTAGATTCCCAAAGGGGTCCATAATCTTAAAAAAAAAAAATGAACGTAAGGAAACACTGACTTAAGGTGTTCATTCATAGAGTCAAGCACAGATCCTCCCGATTTTAAATGTAGCTCTGATGTATAAAACAGTGAAGGTCATAAAAAATGTGTGTGGCTTAAATATTGGCCACATGATTCAAATTTGTAATCTGTATTTCAACGTATTGCACCTGCCATGCATTCTGGTATTTTAATAATGTTAAGGCTAGAAAAACTGTTAAGCCCTAAAGAAAATACCAAATAATCAGTGGCCAGATATCATAATATTGAGCTGTGACTGAAGACCCTCTGAAGACCTATGCATAGCATTCTTTCTGATGCTTTTTGTGCCAGTCAAACTGACTTTCTATTGACCATATTGTACTTGCTGTTTTTATGATCTAATACCCAGGTTTCTTGCCTGTTTGTATCATGCAGTTGCAGGATATCCCAAATTGCAAATAGGCATATGCATCTTAAACGGATAACTTTTCCCTATCCAAATTGGTAGAGTTATTCAAAACTATAGAAAAATACACATATTTAGAATAATAGCCAGGAGTTATGCTAATGTCAGATTATTTTTTACAGATAGTAAGTAAAATAAGCATAATAGTGAATTAAAAAGATAGATGTGTGACATTTAGGGAATGAGAACTTTGTTCAGTCAAGTGGTGTTCAGAAGTAATTCTGATTAAGTTTGAGGTTTGTTCTGTTTATCTTAAATCAAAGAACTAAAATCCCCAGTGATTTTGAATAACCCCATTGCTTCTCTATATTTTATCAGGGCCAATATAGAATTTGCAAATGACCTAACCAGTTGCAAACTGAGACATCAGGCTGGGTGCAGTGGCTCACACCTGTAATTCCAGCACTTTGGAAAGCCGAGGTGGGAGGATCACTTGAGCCCAGGAGTTCAAAACCAGCCTGGGCAACATGGCAAAACCCCATCTCTACCCAAAATACAAAAATTATCCAGGTGTGGTGGCACATACCTGTAGTCCCAGCTACTTGGATGGCTGAGGTGGGAGGATGGTTTGAGCCCAGGAGGTGGAGGTTGCAGTGTGTTAAGATCATGCCTTTGCACTCCATCCTTGACAACAGAGCCAGACCCTCTCTCAACAATAACAACAACAACAACAAACATTAAGACATTGATGCTACCAGGATCTCTAGTGTGACCATGTGCATATGAGATATATGCTGTTTGGTGTTTAATGAACCACAGCCTACTTCTCTCCTGTGTGAAGTGTGATAATGAAACAAAATGGCCAAAAGTAGAAATAGAAAGGAAAAGCAAAAGTCGTGTCTTAAGAAAACAAGCAAAAATCTACACACACACACACACACACACACACACACACACACACACACACCAGAAGGGTTGAAATGGTATATTACCATACTCTAAAAATATAATTACTTTCAAAGATGTTTACCAGTACTATTTAGTTGACTGATTATACTATAAAAGAAAAGGTCTTTGATGCCATCCACAGTAGAAATAAAGTGTTACCAGAAATGACAAAATAAAATGGTACAGGAAAAGACAGTCATCTGAATGGAAGTGATATGGAGCCATAAAGACTGAATGCCACATCTACTTATTACAGAACGTTATGAACAATCCTCCTCCGAATCTGCCAGAGCCCAGTGAAGATGTTTTCAACTGTTTCTCCAATCACTTGAACAGTGGCAGCCATTCATCAGTACATCACCATTTATGTCATCATAATTATCTTAAAGCACAGAAGGGAAATTCATGAGGGTTTCTTTAGGCTGGAGGCTAATTTTAATTAAGTATTGGGGCAGAAGTCAGACTTACTGACTACAGAATAATTTTTTGTGCTGCTCTGAGAATTTGTGAGTATTCAAGAAAGTTCACAACACCGTTAGTATTATATGAACTGTCTATTTAACTTGGATATAATAGGTCAAAAAAAAAGACTGACTCTTGGATTTTGAAAGGCCTTTTGCCAAAAAAAGAAAGTGTATGGTGGATTAAAGTGTTAACTGGGTTAAGGATCCCAGGAGAATGTTATCATCTTCCTAAATAAAAAGGCTACCTTTGTTCTGGGTATGCCATGCTCAGGAGGCTACCATGCTCTGAGTTTTATGAATCAGACAATTGTAATATCATTGCCAAGTATAAGCATGAGTTTTCTTAGAGAGAAAACAAAGTTCAGATTGACAGCTTCCTTTAAGTAGCTCAAGGAAACAATGTTCCTTAGTACTTCATTAGCTATTTCTATGAAATTCAATAGTATATACAATGAACTGAGGTGATTTTCTCAAACTCTTTGTGTTTTTATATGTGAAATAAATGAATTGTTCCTACAGAGATAATCTCACAGAATTTAAAAATCAGACAGAAGAAGTGTTTATGCTGGAGTATCAGCCTGGATGGGATTTAACGCTTAGATTCTTAAAGAATTCTGAAGATATGACATCCTTTTTTCCAAAAATATAAATTCTCTCCCTGAAGTAAACCTATGACCTCAATCAAATTCTGCATGATGTAGTGCTTCATAATTTCCCCCATTCTTTCACTAATTCATCTAATTGCACATCATTTCATCTAATGTTTACACTGATAACCTGAGACAGATGATCTGTCTCAGGTGATCTGTCTCGGGTTATCAGTGTAAACATTAGATGAAATAATGTGCCTGTTTAACTTAGTAATGGACCACGCAAAATATGAACCTGAAGATGCTCACTATGGCACACCCCAGAATTGTTTAATGAAAGAATCTTTTAAAGTTCCCTATTCAAATAAAACAGAGTGCCAGACAGGATTCTTAAAAAGTCTTATAACCAAAAATGGCAGGTTCAAGATCACAACCAAAATTCCCTGTGCACTGTGATGTCTGTTAAATCTGCTTTCTCATTAAACAGCAGATTCTCTGCATTTCAAGTAAGCATGAGTAGCCTGTTATGATTGCACACTACATGAATACTGCTTGACCCAGACCCCACTCCCTCAGTCCATGACCTTTTCCTTGTCTTACTCCCTATCTGCTATATCAAAGCATAGGAATAGTTGCAGTTCTGGTATCTGCTTTCCTTGAGTTTCACATTATTCTTTAAAAGAACTCCATGACCTCTGGCACCATTGGATATGGTGCCCTTGGATTTTTTCATTTGTAACCCTTCTTGTGCTGGCCTTCAGAAGTCTTGTGAATGAATGCTTAGGGCTTGGGTCCTGAGAGATTTCCCATTTTATTAACAGACTTTCTCTACCTTCAGAGTCCAAGGTGAGGTCAATGACATTCTCTACATTTCTTACTAGGAAGAGACTCTCTTTTGCCAGGCTGGAAGCTAAGGGATGATCCAACTGTATATATTTTTTTAAATACAATAATTTTTGTTACACATAAAGTTGGTGGACTTAGTGGTTTTTCCCAAGTTTCCACAAGCGGCTTTTGTCAGAGCTGGTTCATGACCTGATTCGTATTGCTGTGTTGGGGATTTCCTTATAATTCAACAGTAATCATTTTTCAAAGCCATCTGTGTCTCTTCTGGAGACCAGAAATCACAAACCGGATAACATTTTTGAATATAGTGGACATTGCTGCTGGGGAGGGCACTATGTCAGCACAATTTAAAGTAAGCCACCCCCTCTCCAGCTTTAAGTTGATCAAGCAGAGTACACACGCTCTTTAGGTTCTGGGTAAGGGACAGTGCATTCCATGTGAAAGTAGGGAGGTTTTTGAAACTTTATATTAGAGGACACTTATACATCCATGATTGCCTCAGTTGCAAATTTTTAGCCCTGACTGCCTTCCTAGCCCCTCTACTTATCACTGGAATGTGTTCAGGCAGGATAACTGTAATGAATATTCATTACTCTGAAGAAATAATAACTAGTAACTGCGTCTTCTGTTAAAATACAAAACAAAAATCATGCCACCCAATCAAAGGTCATATTTGTGATTTCTAGATTATTGCTTTGCTGGATTATCTTTATTTCTGCTTCTCTCCACTGGCATGTATCCCAAAGAATTTATCATTACTGATAAGTTATACATGCAATCTGTTAGAAATAAGGATGGCCTGTTTTAATAGTAGTGTGGAATCAGTAACATCCTAGTCTTCCTTCCTTGGAAATGGTAGATTCCAAATAAAGTGTATTTCATCTATATCACTGCACTTGAAAATTTTTCGTCTTTTTTGAAGTCATTTGTTATTCTTAGGCAGTGTTTCAATTATTTTAGAAATTTTCAGAAAAAAATAGATTTTTGTCTTTCATTTCCAACTCTTATACTTGCTTTTATTTGTAATAGTCACATGCATGGTAGTTCTTTTATATTAACACACAGCTAATCTCTTTTTTTACCCAGAAAACAAGAAAATCTGTATTTCAGTCACATTCAAAAATAACAATATACTCTTTGTTTTGTCTCTGAGCTGCCTGAATCTGCCATGGTAGGATTAATTTAAAGTAATTCCCATCACTTCCCCTGTGGTTTAATGGAGTGTGTAGGTGTGTGTGTACACACGTGCATGTGTGTTTTCAAAAAGAAATATCAAGGATATATCAAACAGAAATTCATTCATGAACTCACATTGCCTCCTATAGTAACATGATGTATTGAATGAAAAACACTCATTAGGGCTAAACAGATACAGGGAGTTAGGAGCTGATTTAGACTTGATAAGCCCTTGAGCAGTAAGATTGCTCTGTTGCCATTCCGGGTTTTATAAATTTCTCAATTGCTTTATTCAGGATTTTTATTAGAGAAAAATATATGTATGTTAACATGCCTTTGTGCCATCAGCATTAAAAACTCATTTGTTGGCATTTACATTGCCTAATTTTCCGGTAACATCATTCATTGCAGAAAGGATCAGATTTGGTCTGTTGTGACACACATAACAGCAAAAACACTGCAAGGTAGTATAGCTAACTTGCCTATCTATTTGACTCCCATGTTGTTAGAGTGATGGTGGCATGCAAATAGATTTCCCTGGAGGTATGATTATTCCAGAGTGATGGTTTTTCCTAATTATGTACTGAATGGCATGGCATCTTTTCTTAGACTTTATAAGAATTTACTTAGTCATTTTTACTGTTTCAAAATTATATTAGTTTCATTTATTTTTACTAAATAGTGATGACAGAAAAACCTGAAGCTATTATTTTATAGGGCCCAGCCCTAACTTTGCTATATGACAGTGAATAGTTCTCACATTTTCTGAACTGTGATTTCCTTATTTGTCAATTACAGTTACTAAACTACATCTTGAGTTGTGGTCAGTTCTAGTACCAAAAATTTATGGTTCCATGAAAGCAGGCTGATAATTCTTATTGTTGAAGTTATTCTGAAAAAGACAGGATCATTATACAGTAGCATTTTCAAACTACCATGGCACTGTTTGTAACTAAATTTAAAGTATATTAAATTTAAAAATCATTGAAATTATAATTGTTTTAATAAGTGAATTATTTGAAGATTTACTTACATTAGTTCTTTGTTTCTAAACAAAGACGAGGTATATAAAAAAATTTTTTTTGACTATTTCTAAGAGGCCAGTTTTAGAAAATTGCAAAGACATGTTGTAGAATGCCATCTGAAGCAGTGGAACCACTGAGATTATAAATCAATTACGGAACTGCATGCTAAAAAAGTAAGAGCTGAAATTTAGATTCCTAAGTTTTAATGAAATGCTGTCTTCATATACTGTTGCGGAATATTTATTTTCATAATAAAGCAGGTGTAAGGTGATGCTCATGTAGCCTCACCTGCCCTTCAGCAGAGGATGGTAAATAAGGAATGGCATTATTATGCTTTCCCTGGTTCATGATACACTGAATGTGCAATAAGAAAAAAAATTCCTTTGCTATTTTTCCATAGGCAGTTCCTGGATCTGTAAGCGGGTGTTCATCGGCTGCATCCTCAAGGCCTAGAATTTGGCAGCTCATTGTGAAATTTATATGGTTCTAGATGAAGTTTCTCTTATCCTTACATGTTTAGCACATCAGGAGAGGGATAACAAAGAAATCTTTGTAGATTCTGGATATTAACCCTTTGTCAGATGAGTAGGTTGCAAAAATTTTCTCCCATTCTGTAGGTTGCCTGTTCACTCTGATGGTAGATTTTTGCTGTGCAGAAGCTCTTTAGTTTAACTAGATCCCATTTGTCAATTTTGGCTTTTGTTGCCGTTGCTTTTGGTGTTTTAGACATGAAGTCCTTGCCCATGCCTATGTCCTGAATGGTATTGCCTAGGTTTTCTTCTAGGGTTTTTATGGTTTTAGGTCTAACATTTAAGTCTTTAATCCATCTTGAATTAATTTTCGTATAAAGTGTAAGGAAGGGATCCAGTTTCAGCTTTCTACATATGGCTAGCCAATTTTCCACACCATTTATTAAATAGGCAATCCTTTCCCCATTGCTTGTTTTTGTCAGGTTTGTCAAAGATCAGATAGATGTAGATATGCGGCATTATTTCTGAGGGCTCTGTTCTGTTCCATTGGTCTATATCTCTGTTTTGGTACCAGTACCATGCTGTTTTGGTTACTGTAGCCTTGTAGTATAGTTTGAAAATAAAAAAACAAACAACCCCATCAAAGTGGGTGAAGGAAATGAGCAGACACTTCTCAAAAGAAGACATTTATGCAGCCAAAAAACACATGAAAAAATGCTCATCATCACTGGTCATCAGAGAAATGTAAATCAAAACCACAATGAGAAACCATCTCACACCAGTTAGAATGGCGATCATTAAAAAGTCAGGAAACAACAGGTGCTGGAGAGGATGTGGAGAAATAGGAACACTTTTACACTGTTGGTGGGACTGTAAACTAGTTCAACCATTGTTGGAGTCAGTGTGGCGATTCCTCAGGGATCGAGAACCAGAAATACCATTTGACCCAGCCATCCCATTACTGGGTATATACCCAAAGGATTATAAATCATGCTGCTCTGAAGACACATGCACACGTATGTTTATAGCAGCACTATTCACAATAGCAAAGACTTGGAACCAACCTAAATGTCCAACAACGATAGACTGGATAAAGAAAATGTGGCACATATGCACCATGGAGTACTATGCAGCCATAAAAAATGATGAGTTCATGTCCTTTGTAGGGACATGGATGAAACTGGAAACCATCATTCTCAGCAAACTATTGCAAGGACAAAAAACCAAACACCGCATGTTCTCACTCATAGGTGGGAATTGAACAATGAGAACACATGGACACAGGAAGGGGAACATCACACACCCAGGACTGTTGTGTGGTGGGGGGAGCGGGGGGGAGATAGCATTAGGAGACATACCTAATACTAAATGATGAATTAATGGGTGCAGCACACCAACATGGCACATGTATACATATGTAACAAGCCTGCATGTTGTGCACATGTACCCTAAAACTTAAAGTATAATAATAATAAAGTTAAAAAAAAAACAAAGAAATCTGTTTCCAGATGTAGCAGAGAATCACTCTCTGATTGGCCCCCGTCAGAAAGCAATATTGGCCCTTTGAGGAATATTCATTTTAGTGAATTTATTGCTCCTTGATTAATAGAAACCTCAAAAAAGCCAACCTTTGGAAAGCATCTGCTTGATAATATATATTGATAGTTTTCCTTTAAACCCCCCAATTTATAGAGCTACTACTAAGACTGTCACTGTATTTTTCAAAATTATCTTGGCAAGTATTGAAACCTGTAATTTTCTTTACCTTCAAAACATGTACATAAAGAATACCTTCTCTGAAATCATACATTTGGAATTCTCATGTAAATTAGGAATATGAGCAGCCAGGATTAAAATAGAAACTCAAGACCATTGGTCAGAAAAGTTATCTTAGAAAAGTTCAAATGTATTTTTCAGAGCTTCAAAACAGAGAAATCTAGAACCTAGGCTGAGGGTATGGGTGTATTCCATTTATAAAAAGGGACTTCCATAATCACAATGTGAAACAATTTTTGTGGAAAATATAAGATTTTCATGTTATCACTGATAGAGATATCTAACTAGAAAGACAGACTGTTTAATGATGGTTTCTGGATTCCTGGGATAAGAGTTTTTAGTCACATTTGAGCACATAGGAAGCTTTTGCGGTTCATCTAAATGTACATATTAGTCATGTATGGGATGGAATAATCACATGCATAAAAACCCTAAAGGACAACGTTTTCTTTTCTCAGTTGCTCTTCAGTAGTTATATAAATGTGTCCTTTAAAAGTTGGTTGGATGAGAGCTGTATTTTCTAGCTCATTGAATCTCCTGAAATTGGAGATGGTTACTTAACCCTACGACAGATGGAGACAGCCTGTCTCAGCCTTCAAAGATGAAATGTCAATGAGCACGAGTGAATAAATATGGGACTAATTGAAGTGGACCGGCTGAGAGACTGAGGAAGGATGCATTCCTGGCACTCCTCAGACCCCAGCTTTTGAAGCCAGCCAACAGTCTGTGTAAATGACCCCACTAACCTACACCGGAAGGGGTTAGAAGGTTACCTAAACACACAGTCCTTTAGAAACCTATTAGAAACACCTTTCAGAGCATTGAAATATGCTGAATTCCTAAATATGCCTCGTCTGTCTTATCAATTATAAAGTAAGAATTAAAGAATACTGGTTTGGAGATGAGCACTGTAATTTTATGTTGTTCAGATATAAACTTTTAAAGTAGTACAATCAAATATGAACTCTTCATCTTGATAGCAATAGGTATGTCTCAAGCCCTAGGACCTTCTCACCTGATGTATTATTGTGCCATTGTGTTTCTTTTGCAACAATATATACCTCCTAGGAAAATAAGAAAAAGGCCAAAAAATGAAACAAAACTAAAAACAATATGGGTTTAAAGTTTAGCTTTTCAATATTATAGTTTTTCTTAGAAAATATTAAACTAACAAAGAAGATAAGCAATTATATTAACCAGGGCCACACATTCGAAAAACTTAGAAGGGCTAGGCAGACTTCACCCATGAAGGATCAGGGAGTGAGTTCCTATGCACACAGTGTGCTTTTGAATGGTGAGGATTTTGGGGAACTAGACACATAAGTTAATTTAAAAGCATGTGGGCCCAGAAATGCTAGACCTTATGTTTTTTAGAAAAAAATAGAAACCTAAATTTAGATGTAAAACATCTCAATTTTTAAATGCTGGTTTGAAAATTTTAAAAACCCTCTATGAAGAACCAAACCACATACACGCGGGCCTCAGGGGCCATTTGGCATACAGGCAATCAGTTTACAACCTTTGATGAAATGCATAGATATGCACAAACTTAAAGCTTTGTGTATCACAGGCACACCAAAAATATTTGTTTAACCAGCTTGAACATTACCAGGCATCAGCATTACGTAATTTCATTTCCAAATGTATAACACTCATTTTTTTTCATTGTTGAACTTTCAAAGTTAAATTAAAGCTAAAGAGTTATATTTAACTGTGTAAGTTAGTAACTTAGCCATTTCAGGAATCAAATTAATCCCAGAGAAAATAAACTCTACATTTATTTGAAATATTTTTTACAGTCTGATAACCCATGTTTACTGAGCACCTAGATTAAAAGACATTGAAGAGTGATTGAATAGTTTCTAACCAAAGAAGTTTGCAATCTAGTGAATAAGAAAGACTACCTTTAATATAACACAGATAAAAGTAAATGTACAAATGTCATGAGGGACAGAAGAAAATTATCTTATTTGTGCCTTTGTAGCACAAAGGCAGGAAAGATTGATTCTTTGCAGGGATCAAAGATCAAAGAAATCACCTTGAAGGAAGTGGCATTTCAGATGTGTATGACAGAGTGAGACATAGCAGAATTGGGGGCAGGGTGCTTCACAGTACTTGGACTGAGCATTGGGAAATCTGGCATGGCTGGAGCACAGAGGAAACGAAGGTGAGGCGGGAGGCTCATTTAGGGCAAGATTACAGAGAGCCTTGGGTGTCATGTTGGTGCCTGTTTTAGGATTTTATAGAAGGAGAAGAAGATAAGGCTGGTGCATTGCAAAACAAATTAGAGATGAAGGAAAAGAGACTAAGAGAGAAGAAAGGTCAGTTAGGAGGCCTTTTCAATAGTATGGGCAATAGATAATGAGGACTTGAATGGGTGTGGGGGAGTGGGACTCTGAAGAGGTGATAGATTTGGATGTCATAGCATATGACAGTCTGGGGATTGTTTTTTTGTTTCTTTTTGCCAATATGGCAAGTGAAACAATTAGACCTAGATCTTAATTTTTTCTTCCCACTTTATTAGCTCACCATTCTTTCTGAATTTCAGCACAATCAATAGAATAAGGAAGGTGTGATAAGACCATAGATACTTGGATTTTCTTTCATAGCCCCATAACAATTTATATTTTAAGCTTCTGCATCTATTTTATTTTATGTGTGGGGTTTATTGAAGAGGGGGCTCCAGAGAAGATAGAAAATGTCTTTTTCATAATATTATACTCTAAAAATGGAAGACTGATAACATTTCAAATGTTTACACAGGAAACATTTAACATAAGTAACAGATTGCAAAAAGGCAAGAAGGATTAGAATTCACAAAACTAACTTGCATCACTGGAAAAATAAAACATGAAAATAAAAAACATAATTAGGTGATATTAACTTGTAATCATTATACCTTCTTGATACTGGTGCCCCCTCATAGGCACTTCTTGGGAAAAATGGGAATCTAGAGTTTTCAAATGGACAGAGCATACAGTCCAGAAATACTTGATGAAATAAAGTAATTATTTCATAATATTTTAAAAAGAAATGTATTTCCTAGTTTTTTCTCATAAAATGGAAGTATAAAACATCTGACAAAATTAAGGTCACTAAATATGGGCACGTTTGTAGCAAACACCTTTATGGATCATATTGGCCATGTTATTGCTATAGATGTTTAAATAAATGTCTCAATTACAAGCTTTCCTGATTTTATTGCTACTGTATTCCCAGTATGTGTTGCTTTGTAATGTATGGTAAAATAATCTAATTTAATACTTTAACATTTTTGTCATGAAATATTTGCCCATACCTATGTCCTGAATGGTATTGCCTAGATTTTCTTCTAGGATTTTTATAATTTTGGGTTTTACAGTTCAGTCGTTAATCCATCTTGAGTTAATTTTTGTATAAGTTGTAAGGAAGGGGTCCAGTTTCAATTTTCTGCATATGGCTAGCCAGCTCTCCCAGCACCATTAATTAAATGGGGAGTCCTTTCTCCATTGCTTGTTTTCGTCAGCTTTGTCAAAATTCACATAGTTGTAGGTGCGTGGTCTTATTTCTGAGATCTCTATTCTGTTCCATTTGTCTATGTGTCTGTTTTTGTAGCAGTACCGTGCTATTTTGGTTACTAAAGCCTTGTAGTACAGTTTGAAGTTGGGTAGCGTGATGCCTCCAGCTTTGTTCTTTTTGCTTAGGATTGTCTTGGCTACTCAGGCTCTTTTTTCTTTCCATATGAATTTTAAAATAGTTTTTTTTCTAATTCTGTGAAGAATGTCAATGGTAGTTTAACGGGAATAACACTGACTCTATAGATTACTTTGAGCAGTACAGCCATTTTCACGATATTGATTCTTTCTAACCATGAGCATGGAATGTTTTTGCATCTGCTTGTGTCTTCTTTGATTTCCTTGAGCAGTGGTTTGTAGTTCTCTTTGAAGAGGGCCTTCACTTTCCTTGTCAGCTGTATTCCTAGGTATTTTACTCTCTTTGTGGCAATTGTAAATGATAGTTCATTCATGATTTGGCTCTCTCTGCTTGCCTGCTGTTGATGTATAGGAATGCTAGTAATGTTTTGCACATCGATTTTGTATCCTGAGACTTTGCAGAAGTTGCTTATCAGGTTAAATTTGACAAATGGGATTTAATTAAACTACAGAGCTTCTGCACAGCAAAAGAATCTATCATTAGAGTGAACAGAAAACCTACAGAATGGGAGAAAATTTTTGCAACCTGTCCATCTGACAAAGGTCTAATATCCAGAGTCTACAAGGAACTTAAACAAATTTAGAAGAAAGAAAACAAACAACCCCATTAAAAAGTGGGCAAAGAACATGGACAGACACCTCTCAAAAGAAGACATACACGCAGCCAAAAAGCACAAGAAAAAAAGCTCAACATCACTGATCATTAGAGAAATTCCAATCAAAACCACAATGAGATACCATCTCATACCAGTCAGAATGGCTATTATTAAAAAATAAAAAATAAAATAAAAAACCTCAGAATGGCTATTATTAAAAAATAAAAAATAAAAAACTCCGAAGTGCTATTATTAAAAAATAAAATAAAAAAACAACAGATGCTGGCGAGGTTGTATAGAAAAGGGAATGCTTTTACACTGTTGGCGAGAATGCAAATTAGTTCAAACACTGTGAAAGACAGTGTGGTGATTCCTCAAAGACCTAGAGGCAGAAATACCATTTGACCCAGCAATCCTATTACTGAGTAGTATACCCAAAGGACTAGAGGTCATTCTATTGTAAAGACACCTACATGCATATATTCTTTGCAGCACTATTCACAATAGCAAAGACATAGAATCAACCTGAATACCCATCAATGATAGACTGGATAAAGATAATGTGGTAAATATACACCATGGAATAGTATGCAGCCATAAAAAGGAACAAGATCATGTCCTTTGCAGGGGCATGGATGGAGTTGGAAGTCATTATCCTCAGCAAACTAACGCAGGGACAGAAAACCAAACACCACATGTTCTCACTTACAAGTGGGAGCTGAATGATGAGAACACATGGACACATGCGGGCTGAACCATACACACTGGGGCCTGTTGGGTGGAGGAATGTTGTGGGGAGGGACAGCATCAGGAAGAATAGCTAGTAAATGCTTGCCTTAATACCTAGGTGATGGGTTGAACTGTGCAGCAAACCACCATGGCACATGTTTACCCATGTCACAAACATGCACATGTATCCCTGAACTTAAAATAAAAGTTGAAGGAAAAAATACTATAGGGGATAAATCTGCCACCTGTTCTGTTTTCCCAATTTGGAAATAGTGTAATAACATAGGGAAATTACATGCTTTACTGTGTTCAATTCATTTACCAAATATTAGCTGAGTACTACCAGGTAAAAGGTGCCATATGCTATTGGGGGTAAGAAAGGTGACAAAAGACACATCAAATAAGTCATTTTCAAGAAATCGGATTTTATTTTACGAAGCTTTAGAAAGTCAAATTGTCCTTTCTTAAACAGCTTATATTTTCTGCTGATTCACTGGGAAGCATATATACCGGAGATGCTACAGGAGTAAACAGAGTTGTGTAATGTAGGATTTTGAAGAATATAAAAGCACATATTTAAAAAGGCAAATGTTAAAAATGAAAACCTTGAAATGGATTGGGCTAAATTTTTTTCAGAGAAAAGATATTTGATAGTATTTTAAACCCTGATATATCCATTATGAGAATCAGTTTTCCCTTTTTAGAGAGTTCTAATATGTGCATTTTTTTAAAGGCACATATTGCCCACTTGGGCAGCATGGAGTAAATCACTGAAGCAGGCAGCAGTTCATGTTGCTGAAAATGCGGCAAATTGTATTGCATATTGTATTTTCTTTCTTCTCTTTGCTCACTGCTTTGAAAAATTTGTCCTTGTAATATTACTATTATAATTGAATTTACATTAATTGTAAGCATTTGACAAATTTCTAGCTAATGTTTGCCAGAAGTCTTTTTGAGGGTGATTTCCTTAATATTTGTTTCTTGATATCTCCATCAATGACATAATGAGATTCTTGATATCTTCATCAACGACATAATGAGATTCAATTCCCATATGTGCATCTAAGGACCACACAAGGCCCTGTCTCAAAACATAATGGGTGTAATAACTGTAGTTTTTCAGCATCATACTAAAAAGTAAAAAGCTAAAATCTAAATTTTAGAGGTGCATCTACTAGAAGTAGCTGAAGAGGCATTTAATGTATACTTTGTGTCTGCTTTTGGCTGCCAGATATGTAGTTACAATGAAGACAGTGAACGCATCAATAAAATCACTCAAATTGGCTGCCAATGACTCAAATAGTCTGTTCAAGCTGCTATAACAAAGTACCATAAATTAGGTGGCTTATAAACAATAGAAATTTATTTCTCACAGTTCTGGAGGCTGGGAAGTTCAAGGTCAAGGTGCTGGCAGATGCGGTGTCTGGTGGGGATTCACTTCCTTGTAGACAGGGCCTTCGTGTTGTGTCCTCACATGGTGGACGGGGCCAGCTAACTCTCTGGGATCTCTTTGATATAAGCGCACTAATCCTATTCACTATTCATAAGGGCAAAGCCCTTATTACCTACTCACCTCTCAAAGACCCACCTCCTAATACTATCATCTTGGGGGTTAGGATTTCAACATATGAATTTTGGGGGAACACAACATTCAGACCATAGCGTATATAAACTACTTGTCTCTTGACCTACTAATTCTGTAT
This sequence comes from Homo sapiens, assembly GCF_000001405.40. Taxonomy (NCBI): domain Eukaryota; kingdom Metazoa; phylum Chordata; class Mammalia; order Primates; family Hominidae; genus Homo; species Homo sapiens. The sequence continues at coordinate 41,240,969 of NC_000012.12, forward strand.
TGATTATGGATTATGAAGTTTTAGAGTGGTAAAACTTCAGTATCTATTTTGCTCCTCCCCCCTCCCAACCCCCAGCTCTTTTAGCTCTTTCCTTATTATTCCAAGTTGTGTATCCCTTATCCAAAATGCTCAAGACCAGAAGTGTTTCAGATTTTGGATTTTTTTAATATATTTTGGAATATACCTTTATGGGTACAGTATCCCTCATCCTAAAATTGAAAATTGCAGATTCTCCAGTGAACATTTCCTTTGAGTATTTTGCTGGTGCTCACAAGGTTTCAAATTCTGGATTTTTGGATTATGAATACTCAATCTGTGCAGATAAAGGATACCAGGGATTAAGATCTGGAGCTATGATATACTGTGTTTGGTTGTTAATTTTGTTGTGCATCTAGATTTTTGGATTTGTTAAAAGGGGTTAGGCAAATTAATCCAAAAAGACAGTAAAGTCAAACTGACTTAAAAATCAATCCTTAAGCGAAAGAGCGTGGGCTTTTGTTACCAGATTGGCTTGGCCTGACCCTTTGTTCTACCACATACTGGCCCAGTAGTTATGGGTGTTACTTATCTCCTCTGAATCTCAGTTCCCTCATCTATAAAATGGGGATAATAACAAATACATTGGAATATTGTTGTGAGAATTAAATAATACAGTAAATATTGAAACACTTAATATAGTGCAAGGTCTATAATAGGAATTACACACACAGACATTTTTTTTTCCTTTATAAACCATTGGTGATTTGACCTTGTGTTTCTTAAGATAATATTAAAAGTGTTTATTAGTATTCATGGTTTTATTATGATCACTGAACGCTTTCCTGGGACCAGCCTAGATTGTTTATAGTGTCAGCCACTCTTAAGATTTCACAACTCCATAGTGTTTAGTTGAGCTAAGCTAGAACTAAGTCTGTCAGAACTTTCCAGTATAGCTTTGGTCTAAGATGAGCAACAAGAGAAATTTCTGCCAGATTTAGAAGATAGAATGAAGCAACAGCTATGTTTCACTCTTGGAAATTTGGTAGGGTCACTTGCAGTTGCAGCTCACACACAGTGTGAGAGATCTGCCTGCTCATGTTGTTGGCAGGAGGCAGCAAGCAAGTGGGTCTAGAGTTCCTCTGACTCCTGCAAGATTTTTCAGCTTATCCAACTCTTGAGCCAGGTATGTGTTTAACTCTGTGATGAAAGTGTCAGCATCTCCCACAGGTCATATGGAAATAAAATTTTTAAATACAAATCTTCAGGATTCCTTAAACCCTATTGAAAAGAAGATGTCATACTGATACCTACTTTCTAGTCTGTTTTCCAAAACAGTTGATTGATATGCTAAAAATAAATTTCTCAAGGAGGGAAAGAGAATTTCAAATGTGATTTGAGAGACAGAGTTCTGCAGTCCATCATCTGATGATTTGAACATTTACAAAATGTATCTCAATAACTTAGGTTAATATGTATATCCATAAATGTTATATATTGGATGCGATGTTAATAATACCTCGCTGGTTACACAACTATCCACACAATCTCTGATGGAAGCACTGGACAAGGGAGCTCTAAAACTATTCAGGATCAACACAAAGCACTCTTGTTATTCCAAATTGTAACACAAAATTATTAAGAACTATTAAGATTAGGAAGCATTTTATTCTTGTTCTTGTGGACACACACACACACACACACACACAAAGTTGATTGGGATTTCAGACAGGGTTTTGCCATATTGCCCAGGCTGGCTTCGATTTTTTTCTTGCTTCACCCAAAATGTCAGTTAGATAAAACTGCTGCTGCAAAACATGACTTTCCCTTAACACGTTGGAGAGGATGGAGAGCAGCTGTCACTTCCTGTAGGTCTCCACAGCTGTGGAGTTAATGCACTTAGCAAAAAATTGCAGTGCCCTTCTAAGCATAGCACTCAGCATAGCCACTGCCCAGTGGTAAATAGAATTGGCAGAAGCATCTTTTTCTTAATAAACTTCTGGCTCCTCTTTTTCACCTAATTGCAGTGTGTGTTGGTCCTAATGCTTTCATCATATCTGATTCTAGGTAAGATTCATTTCAGTATTTTCCTTTGCTGTTATTTTCTTTGTCTGTTACTTCTGCCTCCTGTATTTTTAGATCAAAAAGTTTTTGAGTGTAGAGGAAAGCAGAGTTTTCCCCTATGAAATGGAAGTTTTCCTTGTATCTCTTCATTTTGCCTGAAGAATGTTCTTGTTACCATCAGCAGATTGCATATGGAGTGAAAAGCATAGCAAGATATAGGGAGACATAGTCAAGGTCAGACTTCTCTAAGTAACATTTTCAACTTTAACCTTTTACACAGACATTACCCTTTGGATTTGTTTTAATTTTTATTAGTTGGGGCAGCTTGGTTAATTGTTCTGGTATTACAATGAATAATTACAATTTAAAAAATTAATAAGTTCAGTCAGTTAAACAAGGAAAAATATTGATTTTAAAATACTTCAGGTTTATGACCAGATTTCATGAGTTGTGCCAAGGTAATGACAAGGCAACTAGCTGAGAAGCAGAAGTTATTATTCATGCAAGTGATATCACGGCATTTGAATACGTTAAAAATATTTTCAGTTAGTCTGTATTTAAAGCCAGATAGATCTATTGGAGTCCCTTTCTGTTCACAACTACAATTAAAATAAATATATTATTAACAAATAAAATAAATAAAATAAAATTATCTTTCATACTTTAATTTGAGGTAATGGTTTTTCTTACTATGTGTTACAGATTCAGTACTTTTTCATTTCTCTATGGGATAGCACTGCCTGATAGCTAATTCACAGTAGCAGAATATCATTTCTATTTATAATACATTAGATGTAATATAGGACTTTATATGAAGACATGATATCCCTATAACTAATGTTCCTATTTCATAAGCTTAGCTAACATATTCACTCAAACATCATTCATTTCCCTCTCATATTCCCAGTCTCTCAATGTGCCTCCAGACTGAGTACTCTGATGGCTTGTATTTCCTACATACTCTCAGGTGATCTCAGCCAGATCCAAGGCTGGAGGAGCCTTTATGCCTCCTAATATTTTATGTGTAGGTCTGACCTTTATCCCAAACTCCATCTTCTTTCCCAACATTTTCAACTGGACATCTAATAGACATCTCAAATTCCCCACGTCTCAAACTTTTGATTTCCAATTCCTGCCCCCAAAATACTCCCCCAATTTGGTAAATGGCCATTCTATTCTTCCAGTTGCTTAGGCCAAACCCTCAGAGTCACCCTTGTCTCCTGTTCCCACACCTTACCTGAGATTCCATCTCACCATCTACACTAAGCCATTGTGTCGCTCTCCTAGAATATTTCAATACCTTCTAACTGGTCTCTCTCCCTTCCTCTTTTGTGCCACTAAGGTGTATTCTCCATACCACAACCAGAGTGTTCCTGTGGCTGTAAGTCAAATCATGTTACTCCTCTGCTCAAAGTTCTGCAATGAGTTCCCATTTTCCTCAGTAAAATCCGAAGTTCTTTCCTTGGCCATTGTTCTACATGATCTGCTCCACTGCTGCATCTCTGACCCTACCTTCTACACCTCTCTCCTTTGCTTACTCCACCCTTGCCAAACCAGAACACTTCCTGTTCCTTCAGCAGGTCCAGCAGACTCCCGCCTCAGAGTGTTGCCCATGCCAGGCTTGCCCCTGGAAGGCCTTCACCCAAGCACACCAATGTCTTTTTTTTTTTTTTTTTTTTTTCTTTTTGAGACGGAGTCTCGCTCTGTCGCCCAGGCCAGACTGCGGACTGCAGTGGCGCAATCTCGGCTCACTGCAAGCTCTGCTTCCCGGGTTCACGCCATTCTCCTGCCTCAGCCTCCCGAGTAGCTGGGACTACAGGCGCCCGCCACCGCGCCCGGCTAATTTTTTGTATTTTTAGTAGAGACGAAGACGGGGTTTCACCTTGTTAGCCAGGATGGTCTCGATCTCCTGACCTCATGATCCACCCGCCTCGGCCTCCCAAAGTGCTGGGATTACAGGCGTGAGCCACCGCGCCCGGCCCACACCACTGTCTTGACACTCCCTTCACATTGATCTCTGGTCCAATGGCACCTTATCAGGGAGATTTTCCTCAATTATCCCATATAAGATAGCATTCCTAGTTACCACCCTGGGCACTGTCTAGCTAGCGTCTTGGCAGTGTGTTATTGTATTTCATAGCATTCTCATCCTCTTGTGTATTATATATATATTGGTTTATTACACTTCCCCGAGCAAAAGATTTCTGAGCACAGGGACTTTGCCTGTTTTGTTCATGACATCTCTAGAACCTGGAACAGTGCAGCCTCCTGTTAGGCATTTAATACAAATTTGTTGAATGAATAAATGAACAAGTGAATTATTTTATCAACAAACACATATCGATTATATGCCTGATACTATTTCAATCCTTGGGGATTCAAATGTTAATAAAATAAGAGCTCTGCTTTCAAGCAGGAAAGATGGACATGTACAAAATTAATTAGAATATGATATGACAACCCCTCTAGTAGAGTCCTATAAAAAGTTTTGTATACACTGAAATATATATGGATAATGTAATAGGATACCTAGGATTGGCTTCAAAATGATATGTGGTGGAGGGAATGATTTCTGTACATGAAAAATATGTTCATAAATGTTGAATCTGGGTAATGGGAATATAGGGATTCATTCTTTCTGTGTTTTAAAATGTTCAACATTTTCCATAATAAAAAGTGAAAAAAAATATATGGCAATATAATGGATGAAACAGTAACTGTTCCTATGCTGAGGAGGAGTCTTTGCAGAGGAAACAGTATTTAGACTGATTCCTCATGGAAATCAAAGCAAGAACTCATTAAAATGGAGAGCAAAAGAAGGGCAGCCCCACCCTTATGTCACATCTGCCCTGCAAAGAAACAGAACAATGCCTGGGCTACAAATTAGATGTGGCTCAGTCCAGTTGGGTGATAGAAGGTGAGTTAGAGGGGTAGTCTGGGGAAAGCGAAGGATCTTGTTTGCAATGTGGAGGCATATGGAATTATTCTCTAGGGAGACAAAAGCCATCTGAGATTTTAAGTCTTCAAAATTTAGGATGGTAATTAATAGCATGCAGATTGAGGAGCTTTGGGTAGACAGGAGACATGTTCCAACTGTAGGGAGATTTCTCAGAAAAATAAAAATGTCTTTTTGATAATTTGCTTTGATGTCATTTGATTACATCATTTCAATATTTAATATGAGCTCTGTCTGCATAGATTTTTTAAAACTTTTGTTTTATCAGCAATGAATATGATTTTGATTAGTCCAATATATTCATCGAGGTTTTAAAACAATTGTACAGTTAATTGACAGGGTATTTCAACTGTACAGTTAATTGTACAGTTGATGGACAGTGTATTTCACTCTATATTGAAAAGCTGTCATTACAAGATAGTTAAATTTTTGGCAACAGATTATGCTGTGTGGATAGGTATGGATGGATATTAATCTAAAAATATTCTTCTTGTTATTGGGTTCTTTCATGTGCAGAGGAAGTTTTCATCCAAAACGTTTGCAGTTTGTTGCCCTGTGACATTTTGTGACACTATTACTACATCTAATTTTTTTCAGCTAACTTGTAGTGGTTTGTTGGAGCTATAGATGAGGTAACAAGTTCCTGGCATTTTGGTGAGATCAACTGCAGGGGCTTGACATCACAACCAATTTTCCTACAGCAACTGTTTCTGCTCTCATGTTCTTTATCTTATGAACCTTCCCATTCAGTGGGAGTTGTAAAACAGCAAATATGAGTTCAACTCTGTTATTCTTAATGCCTTTGGACCACTAATGAGTCCTGTTATGCCACCGGACATGAAATACAGTGAAGAAAATGACCTCTGCATTGCTTTGGAAGCTAGAAGCATTGCTCCATACAGACATTCTATACAGTTAATTTTTTTTCTATTTACTCTGAAAGGTACAGAGATCATTCTGTATTGAGTCTTCGGCTAGGATATTTTGCCTCACTTTGTTTTCAGGCCTTCAGGAATTTCTATGTCATTCATCCATCCCTTTCTTCCTTTTTTTTTCTTTCAAATTCAACAAATATATTGAGATCCAATATATCCAGTCTTCTCTGCTAGGCACTATGAGGACTATAATGCTGATGGAATCCCAGGGTCAAATAATTTAAAATTTAGTAAAGGAATTAATACCAAAATAATCATGGTCCAAGGTACAACATAAGTAAAAATGTTTAGAGAGTATGGAGGAACGATGTATCACAGCTGGTTGAGAAGAGAACTCTGGAAGTAAGATGCTTATTATATTGCCTACTACATTATCTCCTAATTAAGGTATGCAGACTGGCAGAACTAGCATTACCTGAGGAGCTGCTAGATAGGCAGATTTTCAGGCCCCAGTAAAACTCACTGAATCACAATCTTTGAAAGTGTGGCTTCAGAATCTGTTTTAACAAGCTGATATTTACACATGCTGGTACACTCCACTGACCATTGAAATTACCCAATATAAGTTGATTGATTGTTGATTTAACTTGGGGGGTTCCTTTAAAATGTTTTATGTGATGAACAAATATTCTTCCTCTGTGGTAGGGTTCATCGCCCTTTTGACTCCAATTCCTGGGTTTGGCTTTACTTGTGACCAGCTTGGAGAAATACAATAAATCTCTAACATAGTAATTGTTATATGTTTCTTGGCATAGTAGGCTTGGATAGAAGATAGAATGTACCTTGATGTAACAATTTTTTTAAAGTGCCCATTTATCTCCCATCCTTTTAATAAATACTTATATTTCCAAAATATTTAAAGACTTTAAAAAAGAAAAATAGCATTTGTGCTTAGGGTAGCCAGTTTCGAACATGGGTATTTGGAAATTGATTTTAAAAGATCTATGCTCAAACTAAGATTTTAGAAGATCCTGATTTAAGTTAATATACTTGGGACATGCATACAATTATCAGGCATTTCAGCTACAGAAAGCAATGGCATTAATCCATGTGCTGAAGGCTCACAGACGTGAAAGTTATTGGACTGTTGTTTTAGGCAGTCATGGC